>NC_000014.9:62338985-62642016 GCF_000001405.40 Homo sapiens | reverse complement strand
ACTGGTGTGAGATGATATCTCATTGTGGTTTTGATTTGCATTTCTCTGATGGCCAGTGATGGTGAGCATTTTTTCATGTGTCTTTTGGCTGCATAAATGTCTTCTTTTGAGAAGTGTCTGTTCATGTCCTTCACCCACTTTTTGATGGGGTTGTTTGTTTTTTTCTTGTAAATTTGTTTAAGTTCATTGTAGATTCTGGATATTAGCCTGTTGTCAGAGGAGTAGGTTGCGAAAATTTTCTCCCATTTTGTGGGTTGCCTGTTCACTCTGATGGTAGTTTCTTTTGCTGTGCAGAAGCTCTTTAGTTTCATTAGATCCCATTTGTCAATTTTGGCTTTTGTTGCCATTGCTTTTGGTGTTTTAGACATGAAGTCCTTGCCCGTGCCTATGTCCTGAATGGGAATGCTTAGGTTTTCTTCTCGGGTTTTTATGGTTTTAGGTCTAACGTTTAAGTCTTTAATCCATCTTGAATTGATTTTTGTATAAGGTGTAAGGAAGGGATCCAGTTTCAGCTTTCTCCATATGGCTAGCCAGTTTTCCCAGCACCATTTATTAAATAGGGAATCCTTTCCCCATTGCTTGTTTTTCTCAGGTTTGTCAAAGATCAGATAGTTGTAGATATGCGGCGGTATTTCTGAGGGCTCTGTTCTGTTCCATTGATCTATGTCTCTGCTTTGGTACCAGTACCATGCTGTTTTGGTTATTGTAGCCTTGTAGTATAGTTTGAAGTCAGGTAGCGTGACGCCTCCAGGTTTGTTCTTTTGGCTTAGGATTGACTTGGCAATGTGGGCTCTTTTTTGGTTCCATATGAACTTTAAAGTAGTTTTTTCCAATTCTGTGAAGAAAGTCATTGGTAGCTTGATGGGAATGGCATTGAATCTGTAAATTACCTTGGGCAGTATGGCCATTTTCACGATATTGATTCTTCCTACCCATGAGCATGGAATGTTCTTCCATTTGTTTTTATCCTCTTTTATTTCCTTGAGCAGTGGTTTGTAGTTCTCCTTGAAGAGGTCCTTCACGTCCCTTGTAAGGTGGATTCCTAGGTATTTTATTCTCTTTGAAGCAATTGTGAATGGGAATTCACTCATGATTTGGCTCTCTGTTTGTCTGTTATTGGCGTATAAGAATGCTTGTGATTTTTGCACATTGATTTTGTAACCTGAGACTTTGCTGAAGTTGCTTATCAACTTAAGGAGATTTTGGGCTGAGACGATGGGGTTTTCTAGATATACAATCATGTCGTCTGCAAACAGGGACAATTTGACTTCCTCTTTTCCTAATTGAATACCCTTTATTTCCTTCTCCTGCCTGATTGCCCTGGCCAGAACCTCCAACACTATGTTGAATAGGAGTGGTGAGAGAGGGCATCCCTGTCTTGTGCCAGTTTTCAAAGGGAATGCTTCCAGTTTTTGCCCATTCAGTGTGATATTGGCTGTGGGTTTGTCATAGATAGCTCTTATTATTTTGAGATATGTCCCATCAATACCCAATTTATTGAGAGTTTTTAGCATGAAGGGTTGTTGAATTTTGTCAAAGGCCTTTTCTGCATCTATTGAGATAATCATGTGGTTTTTGTCTTTGGTTCTGTTTATATGCTGGATTACATTTATTGATTTGCGTATATTGAACCAGCCTTGCATCCCAGGGATGAAGCCCACTTGATCATGGTGGATAAGCTTTTTGATGTGCTGCTGGATTCGGTTTGCCAGTATTTTATTGAGGATTTTTGCATCAATGTTCATCAAGGATATTGGTCTAAAATTCTCTTTTTTGGTTGTGTCTCTGCCTGGCTTTGGTATCAGGATGATGCTGGCCTCATAAAATGAGTTAGGGAGGATTCCCTCTCTTTCTATTGATTGGAATAGTTTCAGAAGGAATGGTACCAGTTCCTCCTTGTACCTCTGGTAGAATTCAGCTGTGAATCCATCTGGTCCTGGACTCTTTTTGGTTGGTAAGCTATTGATTATTGCCACAATTTCAGCTCCTGTTATTGGTCTATTCAGGGATTCAACTTCTTCCTGGTTTAGTCTTGGGAGAGTGTATGTGTCGAGGAATTTATCCATTTCTTCTAGATTTTCTAGTTTATTTGCGTAGAGGTGTTTGTAGTATTCTCTGATGGTAGTTTGTGTTTCTGTGGGATTGGTGGTGATATCCCCTTTATCAGTTTTTATTGCGTCTATTTGATTCTTCTCTCTTTTTTTCTTCATTAGTCTTGCTGGCGGTCTATCAATTTTGGTGATCCTTTCAAAAAACCAGCTCCTGGATTCATTAATTTTTTGAAGGGTTTTTTGTGTCTCTATTTCCTTCAGTTCTGCTCTGATTTTAGTTATTTCTTGCCTTCTGCTAGCTTTTGAATGTGTTTGCTCTTGCTTCCCTAGCTCTTTTAATTGTGATGTTAGGGTGTCAATTTTGGATCTTTCCTGCTTTCTCTTGTGGGCATTTAGTGCTATAAATTTCACTCTACACACTGCTTTGAATGTGTCCCAGAGATTCTGGTATGTTGTGTCTTTGTTCTCGTTGGTTTCAAAGAACATCTTTATTTCTGCCTTCATTTTGTTATGTACCCAGTAGTCATTCAGGAGCAGGTTGTTCAGTTTCCGTGTAGTTGAGCGGTTTTGAGTGAGTTTCTTAATGCTGAGTTCTAGTTTGATTGCACTGTGGTCTGAGAGATAGTTTGTTATAATTTCTGTTCTTGTACATTTGCTGAGGAGTGCTTTATTTCCAAGTATGTGGTCAATTTTGGAATAGGTGTGGTGTGGTGCTGAAAAAAATGTATATTCTGTTGATTTGGGGTGGAGAGTTCTGTAGATGTCTATTAGGTCCGCTTGGTGCAGACGTGAGTTCAATTCCTGGGTATCTTTGTTGACTTTCTGTCTCGTTGATCTGTCTAATGTTGACAGTGGGGTGTTAAAGTCTCCCATTATTAATGTGTGGGAGTCTAAGTCTCTTTGTAGGTCACTCAGGACTTGCTTTATGAATCTGGGTGCTCCTGTATTGGGTGTATATATATATTTAGGATAGTTAGCTCTTCTTGTTGACTTGATCCCTTTACCATTATATAATGGCCTTTTTTGTCTCTTTTGATCTTTGTTGGTTTAAAGTCTGTTTTATCAGAGACTAGGATTGCAAGCCCTGCCTTTTTTTGTTTTCCATGTGCTTGGTAGATCTTCCTCCATCCTTTTATTTTGAGCCTATATGTGTCTCTGCAGGTGAGATGGGTTGCCTGAATACAACACACCGATGGGTCTCGACTCTTTATCCAATTTGCCAGTCTGTGTCTTTTAATTGGAGCATTTAGTCCATTTACATTTAAAGTTAATATTGTTATGTGTGAATTTGAACCTGTCATTATGATGTCAGCTGGTTATTTTGCTCGTTAGTTGATGCAGTTTCTTCCTAGTCTCAATGGTCTTTACATTTTGGCATGATTTTGCACTGGCTGGTACCGGTTGTTCCTTTCCATGTTTAGTGCTTCCTTCAGAAGCTCTTTTAGGGCAGGCCTGGTGGTGACAAAATCTCTCAGCATTTGCTTGTCTATAAAGTATTTTATTTCTCCTTCACTTATGAAGCTTAGTTTGGCTGGATATGAAATTCTGGGTTGAAAATTCTTTTCTTTAAGAATGTTGAATATTGGCCCCCACTGTCTTCTGGCTTGTAGAGTTTCTGCTGAGAGATCTGCTGTTAGTCTGTTGGGCTTCCCTTTGTGGGTAACCGGACCTTTCTCTCTGGCTGCCCTTAACATTTTTTCCTTCATTTCAACTTTGGTGAATCTGACAATTATGTGTCTTGGAGTTGCTCTTCTCGAGGAGTATCTTTGTGGCGTTCTCTGTATTTCCTGAATCTGAATGTTGGCCTGCCTTGCTAGATTGGGGAAGTTCTCCTGGATAATATCCTGCAGGGTGTTTTCCAACTTGGTTCCATTCTCCCCGTCACTTTCAGGTACACCAATTAGATGTAGATTTTGTCTTTTCACATAGTCCCATATTTCTTGGAGGCTTTGTTCGTTTCTTTTTATTCTTTTTTCTCTAAACTTCCCTTCTCGCTTCATTTCATTCATTTCATCTTCCATGGCTGATACCCTTTCTTCCAGTTGATCGCATCGGCTCCTGAGGCTTCTGCATTCTTCAAGTAGTTCTCGAGCCTTGGCTTTCAGCTCCATTAGCTCCTTTAAGCATTTCTCTGTATTGGTTATTCTAGTTATACATTCGTCTGAAATTTTTTCAAAGTTTTTAACTTCTTTGCCTTTGGTTTGAATTTCCTCCTGTAGCTTGTAGTTTGATCGTCTGAAGCCTTCTTCTCTCAACTCGTCAAAGTCATTCTCCGTCCAGCTTTTTTCCGTTGCTGGTGAGGAACTGCGTTCCTTTGGAGGAGGAGAGGTGCTCTGCTTTTTAGAGTTTCCAGTTTTTCTGCTCTGTTTCTTTCCCCATCTTTGTGGTTTTATCTACTTTTGGTCTTTGATGATGGTGATGTACAGATGGGTTTTTGGTGTGGATGTCCTTTCTGTTTGTTAGTTTTCCTTCTAACAGACAGGACTCTCAGCTGCAGGTCTGTTGGAGTTTGCTAGAGGTCCACTCCAGACCCTGTTTGCCTGGGTATCAGCAGCGGTGTCTGCAGAACAGTGGTTTTTCATGAACCGCGAATGCTGTTGTCTGTTCATTCCTCTGGAAGTTTTGTCTCAGAGGAGTACCCAGCCATGTGAGGTGTCAGTCTGCCCCTACTTGGGGGGGGTGCCTCTCAGTTAGGCTGCTCCGGGGTCAGGGATCAGGGACCCGCTTGAGGAGGCAGTCTGCCCATTCTCAGATCTCCATCTGTGTGCTGAGAGAACCACTGCTCTCTTCAACAGGGACATTTAAGTCTGCAGAGGTTACTGCTGTCTTTTTGTTTGTCTGTGCTCTGCCCCCAGAGGTGGAGCCTACAGAGGCAGGCAGGCCTCCTTGAGCTGTGGTGGGCTCCACCCAGTTGGAGCTTCCCGGCTGCTTTGTTTACCTAAGCAAGCCTGGGCAATGGCAGGCGCCCCTCCCCCAGCCTCGCTGCCACCTTGCAGTTTGATCTCAGACTGCTGTGCTAGCAGTCAGTGAGACTCCGTGGGCATAGGACCCTCCGAGCCAGATGCAGGATATAATCTCATGGTGTGCCATTTTTTAAGCCCGTCGGAAAATCGCAGTATTCGGGTGGGAGTGATCCGATTTTCCAGGTGCCATCTGTTGCCCCTTTCTTTGACTAGGAAAGGGAACTCCCTGACCCCTTGCGCTTCTGGAGTGAGGCAATGCCTCGCCCTGCTTCAGCTTGTGCACCGTGCGCTGCACCCACTGACCTGTGCCCACTGTCTGGCACTCCCTAGTGAGATGAACCCGGTACCTCAGATGGAAACGCAGAAATCACCCGTCTTCTGCGTCGCTCACGCTGGGAGCTGTAGACCGGAGCTGTTCCTATTCGGCCATCTTGGCTCCTCCTCTTGTTGTTTTTTAAGACAGGTTCTCACTTTGTCACCCAGGTTGGAGTATAGTGGTGCACTCTTGGCTCACTGCAGCCTTGACCTCCCAGGCTCAAGCAATCCTCCTGCCCCCCAGATAGCTGGGACTACACATGCACACCACCATGCCCAGCAAATTTTTGTATTTTTTGTAGAGATAGGGTTTTGCTGTGTTGCCCAGGTTGGTCTCAAACTCCTGAGCTCAAGTGATCCACCCACATTTGCCTCCTAAAGGGCTGGGATTATAGGCATGAGCCACTGTACCTGGACTACCATACTCTTTTGATTACTACAGCTTGGTAATGTACTTTGAAATCAGGCAGTGCGAGGCTTTCAGCTTTGTTCTTATTTCTCAAGATTGGTTTGGCTATTGGTGGTTTTTGTGGCTCCATATAAACTTCAGAATATTTTTCTATTTATGTAAAAATGCCATTGGGGTTTTAATATAGAGATTGCTTTGAATCTATAGATCTCTTTGGGAAGTATGAACATTTTAATAATATTAAGTTTTCCAGTGCATGAACACAGGATGTCTTTCCATTTGTTTTTGTCTTGTTGAATTTCTTTCATCAGTGTTTTATATCTTTTTGTATACAAGTCTTTTACCACCTTAGTTAGATTTATTACTAGGTTTTTTATTCACTCTTTTTGGCACTAACATAAATGGGATTGTTGTCCTAATTTACTTTTCAGATATTTTGTTCATGTATAGGTATTCAGTTGATTTTTTTATATTGATTTTGCAACCTGCAAGTTTACTGAATTCATGTATTAGCTTTAATGGATTTTTTTATAATGGTGTTTTTAGGGTTTTATAAACATTAATATAAGACTATGTCATCTACAATTTTACATCCTCCTTTCTGATTTGGATGTCTTTTGGTTTTTCCCTTCAATTGCTCTGGCTAGGCCTTCTAGTACTATATTGAATGGAAATGGCAAGAGTGGGCATCCTCATCTTGTTCCTGATGTTAGAGGAAACACTTTGTTTTTCTCTGAGTATAATATTAGCTGTGGGCTTTTCATATATGGTCTTTATTATCTTGAAGTAATTTTCTTCTATTCCTAGTTTATCAAGAGTTTTTATTATGAAAGAATGTTGAATTTTGCCTAACACTTTTTCTGTATCTATTGCAATGATCATATGATTTTCATGATTTGCTCCATTAATGTATCATATTAGTTTTCATATGTTGAATCATATTTGTATCCCAGGGATAAATATTACTTAGCAACAATGTATAATCCTTTTAATGTGTGGGTGGATTTGCTTTGGTAGCATTTTCTTGAGAATTTTTGTGTCTATATTATTCAGGGATATTGGCCTCTGGTTTTCTTGTGCTGTCTTTTCCTGGTATTGATATTAGACTAATGCTGGCCTAATAAATTGAGTTTGGAATTGTTCCCTCCTGTTCATTTTTTTTTTTTTTTTTGAAGAGTTTGAGAAGGATTGGTATTAGTTCATCCTTAAATGTTTGGTGGAATGAACACATGAAGCTATGCAGCTCTGGGCTTTTCTTTTTGGGGAGGTTTTTGTTACTAATTCAATATCCATACTAGTTATAGATCTGTTCAGACCTTCTATTTCTTTATTGGTAGGTTGTATGTTTCTAAGAATTTTCTTCTAGGTTGATCATATTAGTCTCTACTGATCTTTTTTATTTCTGTGGCATCAGTTGTAATGTCTCTATTTTTATTTCTGATTTTGAGTCCTCTCTTTCTTTCTTTCTTAGTTTAAGGGTATGTCAACTTTGCTTGTTTTTTTTTAAAAAAACTGTTAGTTTTATGTTTTTTTCTGTTCTTTATTTCATTTATTTCTGCTCTAATCTTTGTATTTCCTATCTTCTCCTAATTTTGGGCTTGGTTTCTTTTTCTAGTTTCTTGAAATGTAAAATTAGGTTGTTTGAAATCTTTCCCCTTTTTAATTAAGGGACTTATTTTTATGAACATTCCTCTTAGCACTGCTTTTGCTTCATACTGTGAGTTGCATATGTTGTATTTTTGTTTTTGTCTTGTTTACCTAATTTCCTTTTTCTCTTTCTATTTTTTTTTTTTTTTTTTGAGGCAGAGCCTCGCTCTGTCACCCAGGCTGGAGTGCAATGGCACAATCTCTACTCACTGCAACCTCTGCTTCCTGGGTTCAAGCAATTCTCCGGCCTCAGCCTCCCGAGTAGCTGGGATTACAGGCATGAGCCACCATGCCCAGCCCTAATTTCCTTCTTATCTCTTCTTTGACGCAATATTTTTTCAAGAGTGTGTTGCTAAATTTCCATATCCTAGGAGCATTTTTTTGTTGAACATAATTACAAGATAGGAATAAATGGAAGTGCTAAAGGTCAAGGACACTCTTATTAACATATAAATAATATATAGGCAATATATAAATATTTATGTAGCAGGAAAGCACTAGTTTTATGCAGCCTCAGGGATACAATGCGGTAAATCAAAATATTCTTCTTTTCACATGCCCTTTTATTTATGGGAACACGTGATCCAGCTCTAGCCAAAGAGAGGAAACTGAAAAACTCAGAATTAAGCTTTTGGGAAAGTCAAGGCATATCCATCTGTCTATTTTTGGTTTTTAAAAAAAAATTTACCCAAAGTTTGGGGTAGAATTTGGTGTTAGAGATAGACATTTTAGAATCCTCACCAATTTAATTTTTTAAAATTAAGTTTTGAGAATACTTTATATATTCTAGATACAGATAATTTTTCAGAAATGTGATTTGGAAACATTTTTGCTTTATTGTGGCTTATTAATTCTCCTGAAGTGTCTTTTGCAGAGAAAAATTTTTCAACTTGGAAGAAGTCCAATTTATCATGTTTTTCTTTTATAGATCATGCTTTTGTTGAGATGTCTGAAACTGTAACTCAAGTTTACAAAAGTTTTCTTCTAAAGGCTTCATAGTTTTACACACTTACATTAGTATCTCTGATCCGTCTTGAGTTTTTATATCAGTTGGAAGTCTAGATTGAGGTTTATTTTTGTTGTTGTTCATGGATGTCTAGTTAATTCAACACCATTTGTTGAAATGATTATCTGTTTTCCAGTGAATTGCCTTAGTGCCTTTATAGAAAATCAATTGATCATATTTATGTGGGTCTATTTCTAAACTCTCTATACTGTCTCACTAATTGTGTGTCTATTCTTTCACCCATATCTGATTTTCAGCAGAGGAGTAAACACAGCAAAACATGGAAATAAAGACCATATATTAGGTTGGTACAAAAGTAATTGCAGCTTTTGCCATTACTTTTTTTTTTCTTTTTTCTCTTGAGATGGAGTCTCTCTTGCCCAGGCTAGAGTGCAGTGGCACCATCTCAGCTCACTGCCCCAGGTTCAAGCAATTCTCCTGCCTCAGCCTCCTGAGTAGCTGGGATTACAGGCATACACCACCACTCCTGGCTAATTTTTGTATTTTGAGTAGAGACGGGGTTTCACCATGTTGGCCAGGATGGTCTCAAACTCCTGACCTCAAGTGATCCACCTGCTCCAGCCTCTCAAAATGCTGGAATTACATGAGTGAGCCACAGCGCCCAGCCTTGCCATTACTTTCAATGGCAAAAACCGCAACTACTTTTGCACCAAACTAATAGAGTATTTCAATAATGCAGGCAAGAAATGATGGTGTCTTAAAACAGTTGGTAGCAGCAGGATTGAAAAGAAATAATCGTATTTTGGAAATATTTAGAAGAGCACATAGGATGTGCTTCAAGGTGCAATACAGAGTATGAGTAAATATGAGAGTAAAAGGATGAAGTCAAGGATTTGGGCCTGAATGTCTAGAAGAAAGGTGTTTCCATTTTTCTGAGACTGGAGACACTAGAGAGAGACAGGATTGAGTGGAATGAAGAGTTCAGTAGAGGTTAAGTTTGAGAGTCTTAATTTAGGGTAAAGTGGAACAAAGTTGTGATGCCAAGTAGCCAGTTCTGTATATTTGAGACCAAAGTTGAGGGTAGAAATTGGTGCTACAGATAGACATTTTAGAATTCTCGTCAAGATGATGATATTATAATCTGTGGAACATAATGAAATAATCTAAAAAGATACATAGAAGAGGTATGTGAGTCCAAGACCTAGGACACACAATGTTTAGGGGTCTGGGAGACAGGTAAGTATTGGGAAAAGTAACTAACCAGACATAGGAAGTTATATCAAAGGACAAAGATAATAGTATTCTACAGTCTAAGTAAAGAAAGAATCAGAGCCACTGTGTCTATTAGTGGTTTCTGATAAACAGAATAAGGTGAGGCCTGAGAAGTCACGGAGAAATGGACATAAACTCTTTTGGTGGCAGGGGAATGGTGAAGACCTGCTTGGGGTTGATTTAAGAAATGGGGGAAGGAGATGAAGTTGAGATAACAACACTAGAGTTCTGCCATAAAGGAATCAGAAATATGTAGTAACTGGGGTAGAAGTTGGAGTCTAGGCAGCTATCAAGGTAGGACATATTAGTGCATGTTTGTATGACTTTGGGAAAGATTCAGAAGAGAGGTAAAAACTGGTGATGCAGGTGCAAAGCAACAACTGCAAGAGGATATGAGATTGAGTGTTCTACCAAGGGGTTCTTAGACTTTATGAAAGGACGAACAATAAAAGGAATAAATTATAATGTTCAATAGTAGAGTAACTATAGTTAAGAACAATGTAGTATATATTTCAAAACTGCTATTAATAGAAATGAGGACTTGAAATGTCCTAAAGCAATTGAAATAACAAATGCTTGAGGTGATGGATATCCTAAACACCCTGAATACAAATATTTTTTAAATAAATGGGGAATTTTACTTTTCATAAAACAGAATATCCCAGGGCTATTAAAACAATTTCTCAATGCCACCAACATCCCCAAATTTATCTTCCCATCCAGCCATCTTTAGTTATTTATATTTTCTACCAACTTTATACCTATTATTCTGTAGTCTACTTTGAACTACCGGAACTGGGACTCTGAGTAAGAAGGGATTGTGTTTATCAGACTCTTTTAGCAGCTGGCTTCTTGTTAAATTCTGCCGAAAAGGAGGTGTACCGATAAGGGGTCTGAGAGTGGAAAGAAGGAGGAACAATTTTGATTCTGGCTCCAAACACATTGACAGTTGCTCTAGTAGCTGCTGGTTGTTGAAGAGTTGTGGAGACCAGATGGCTGTGCATTTACTCCTGCAAGCCAACTCTTCATGGCTTTCAGCTCTGGCAGGGGCAGCATTCTTTGGAAGTTCTAGTTCCGGCATGTTAGAAAGTGCATGCCAATGGGCTTCACTGCTAAGATGATAGCAATTTCCTGATTTCAGGGTGACATCTTGTCTTCTTTCTGCTGCTCCAGCCCTTTTCATGCATTTTAATTGTTTTACTCTATTAAGTTCTTTCTGCTTGAAATACTTAATGTTTTCTTTTGTTTGTTTTCCTCTGTAGGTCTTTACTGATACTTGGTAACAGCAGAGGTATCTGAGGAAAAAGGTTATCAAAATAAGAATATAAATGGACTTGAAAAAAATGATCTCATTACCAGTGGAAAATATGATACTGATAACCCATGGCATTCTTTATTTTCACAATTAACTCATGTATTATCTGTTGAATCCTGGGAAAGAGCACCCATAGAAGACAAGGCTTGGGGGGCCAATTGAACACTGAACCTGACCATTACAATGGTAATGGTGGCTTAAGGATGGTGAAATGATTTGAGCACTTCTAACTGCATCAGAGAGCTTACACAAAGAAAACAAGCTTAAGGCTTAAAACTTTCAGCATCAGCAAGGATTGAGAGCTGAAAACCAGACTCAAAATTTGTTTCTGTAGTTTGAAAACTATAAGTAGTATTTGTATACTTTCCAAGTCTCATGTGAAAATTAGGGTCTTAATTGAAATGGAGATAAATGTTTAGAATTGAAAAGGAAATCTTCGGGTGAAATCTGAAAACCACAAGCCCCTCAATTTCCTGAGCACCCTTGCCAGTACAAGAAATTCTTCCTCCTTTACTACAGAGGCTCACCTGCCTGAAGATCCCCTGAAGCAGGTGCCTTGTGAGAAGATGCTCATTCTCCCCTAGACCCACTCCAATATACCCAATTCCTTCTAGACCCATTACCAGAGTCATAGTACAGAAAGTCCTGGAAAGACATGTAAAAATTCTAACTAGGATATAGCTAAGTTTAAACTAAAAAGTAGGAAAATGTGCATTTTATAAGAGCCAAAACTTGGAAAATATGTGTTGGAATGGATTCTAAGAATCTTAGTGGGAGCTTGTGGAGATCAGCAGTGAAATGGCGTGGCTAGAGTAGTTTATCTCACAGTGGACCCAGCAGTTCTGCCTAGTCATTCTGTAGACATTTCCTTGGTTCCTAAATGCAGAGTTGGAACAGGCATACTGAGAAAATGGCAAAATCATTACATTGTGTTAGTCCGTTTGCGTTGCTATAAAGGAATATCTGAGACTGGGTAATGTATAAAGAAAACACGTTTATTTGGTTCACAGCTCTGCAGGCTGTTCACGAAGCATGGTGCCAGCATCTGTTTCTGGTGAGGACCTCAGGAGCTTATAATCATGGTGAAAGGCAAAGGCGAGCCACAGGCGAGAGAAGGAGCAAGAGAGAGAGGGAGGAGGTGCCAGGCTTTCTTAAATAACCAGATATTGTGTGAACTGATAACGTGAAAACTCACTCATTGTGGTGAGGACTGCACCAAACCATTCATGGGGGATCTGCCCCCATGACCCAAACACCACCCACTAGGCCCACCTCCAACATGGGAGATCACAATTCAACATGAGGTTTGGAAGGGACAAAACACTCAAACTATATCACTTGGTTCCCTGATCTGTAGAGTGTGGGTATTTGTGGTTTTTATTTCTGTAGAAGCCCAAGGAATTTCTCTTCTTTATCAGCATGTAAGCCAGAGCCACTGCTTTATCTGTGGGAATACAACAGAAAATAATGCCCTCATAGAAGACGAGAGTCGAAGGGGTAATAATTCTTATCACATCCTCATTTAACCGCCCCATTTGGCAAATCGATTGTAGAGAATGACTGTGGAGTATCGTAAATTCAATTAAGTAGTGATTTTAATTTACAGCTGCTGTTCCAGACGTGGCATATTTACTTAGGCAAATCAACGCAGCCCTTGACAGCCGATATGCATACTGATTAAGTGCTTTTTTTTCCCCCTCTGTATTAACATTAAGGACTACCAGAAGCAGTTTGTTTTACCTGGCAAGGAAAGGGCGGTATCAACTCATTAACTCTCCTCCTCTCAGTCATAAGGGTGTGGAGAACTTTGACACTTTTGACATCCTATAGATCATTCATTACACTGACTGGACTGGAAGAACAGCACATGGCCAGTATCCTAGAAGCCTTAGTAAGACAAAGATGTGCTAGAGGGTGGGTGGTGAATACCATGAAACTTAAGGGCTCTGTCTCTTTGGAAAAGTTACTAAGGGTTCAGATGTCTGGGGCTTGTTGGGATATCCTTTCCAAAGTGAAAGACAAGTTGCCTACCATTAAGAAAGAGGCACTTTTTCGTGTGTCTTTTGGTGGGGGGAGGGGGGAGGGATAGCATTAGGAGATAAACCTAATGTTAAATGACGAGTTAATGGGTGCAGCACACCAACATGGCACATGTGTATATGTGTAACAAAACTGCATGTTGTGCGCATGTACCCTAAAACTTAAAGTATAATAAAAAAATTTTTTAAAAAAGAAAGAGGCATAGTGGTCTCTTTGAATTTAGGAAATAGCTTATACCAATTTGAGTGTGCTGCCCTCATTCATCTGCTAAGCAACTGACAGTGTTGGGTGAGACCTGGAGCAAAACAAGGTCTGCATTAGGTCCAAGCTGCGGTGCAAACTAGTCTACCATTTAGGGCTTTTGACCCAGCTGGCATAATGCTGCTGAAATCTATGACAAAGAGGCCTATGTATAGACCTCTGGCTCCTGCTTTTTAATGAGCCCAAATAGAGTCTAAATATCTGGACTTGGAATACCAGGTGATGGTACAACCTGAGATACCCATCATCAACCGAATGACATCTAATCCACCAAATCATAATGAAGTACGTGGACATTAACACTCTTTTATTAAGTGAAAGTGTTATATATGTTCTGAACCAGTGACTACAGTATGGTGCTTTTAAATTCCACAGCCAAAATGCCACAGGTTCAAGAATCAAAGGGTAGAAGTGGAAGGTGTTCCTCCCATTATTATTTTTAATAGCCTATTCCCCAAAGTGCTGCTGCTTCTTCCTAAAAAATTGGGCTCCACTGGGTCAGTTATCTTAGTTCCTAAGAGATTATATGCCAGTATGTATTAAGTACTTCAAAGGCTCTCTGCAACTTAGTGAGGCAAATTAAATTGTCCTCTTCTCACAACGGGGATCAATATACCACTGGTAGGGGCAGTACTGGGATTGAACCCAGGTTCTTTGGGTTCCAAAGACTTTGCTCTTTCTCACTATGTAATTTCAGCCTAAAAGATAGCTGCAGAATGCTGCTACTTCATGTTCTTGGTACCAGAACATTGAGGCCTTACCCCTACCACAGTGAAAACCGTGTCATGCTGGCACCAAGCCCATTTGTTCTAGTTACTATGACCGTGTAGCAGCCACCCCCAAATAATAACTTATAGTTTGTTCATAACTCCACAATTTGGGTAGGGCCCTGGAGGGACAGCTCTGTTCTACACGGTGGGAGCTTGAAGGTTGATGGCTAGAATCACCTGGAGAATTATTCACTCACACGTCTGTGGTTGATGCAATCACCTAGGACCTTAATGGGGGCTGTAGGCTGGGACACTTAGGCATAGTCTCTCCATGGGGCCTTGGCTAGCTTACAACACAGTGGCTAGCTTCCAAGGGTAAGCATATAAAAAACAGACAGCCAAGTAGAAGTTGTATGGCCTTTGATGACCCAACCTCAGAAGTAATATCATTACTTCTGCTTCTTTCTACTTGTTCGACAAAGACTGGCCCTGTTTTAAGGAGAAGGGAAGTAGCATCTAGGATGTGATGGAAAAGTGGCAAGATTCTAGAAATGCATGTGAGACCAGAGATATTGCCATTACTATTCTTGAAAAATATAATCTGCCACACCATTACCAAGGCTAATTGAGGAGTGGGACTAAACTTAAAGGTATATTTACAGACTCAGCCATGGTTAATTCAGGGACTATGGTGGTCTTGTCTGTGGGCAGCATCTATGGTCCACAGGAAGCTGAAAAGGTAAGCCAAGATGCTGCCCACAGACAAGACCACCATAGTCCCTGAATTAACCATGGCCGAGTCTGTAAATATACCTTTAAGTTTAGTCCCTACCCCCATAGAAAGAGGCCCCTCTACTCAATTTATGATGGCTTTTGAGTATTCTGCCCAACTGTCTTTGAGTGCAACAATGAATTTTTATTGCCTTCTTTGAGTAGCATAACATCAAATGTCATGGGGATTTTTACGAGGAAACAGCAGTACCTTGGTCCCACTCTGTCATATAAAATAAAGCTATTACTAATTACAAAATCATTTTATAAGGTAGAAAAGTAAAGGAGATACATGCGGAAGTCATGTTATGTACAGAGGGCAAAACCAGCCAAACCATCTATCCTTATTTCCTACCAGAAGTTAGAAAAGAGATATAATAGTTTGATATATGTCATGCTGTATGAGTACTGACACACTAAACAAGGAACAGGACAGAGCGGCAATAAAAATTGGGGAATGACACTCAGTGATTACCTAAGTAATTCCTTGACCTGGTAAACACACGTTTCACCAGTCCTCACTAGTTCCTAGGCTCTCAGCAACCTGTTCCAAGAAAGTACTTAGCCCCTTCTCTATCACTACCCGGAGTGTCTTGAGGAGTCCCCAGGAGTCGAGGTGGAAGAGGAGGATGCTTCATGTGTTCATAGATAATTATCCTGTGGTCTACCTACTTCCTGTTAGAACTCCAATTTCCTTGCCAACATTTTAATCTCGTAATGCCCCACAAACAGCAAGACCTCCTCACAGGGCCTGTGCAATGTGATATATGAAGTTCAGGGGAGATCTCTTCTAATCAGCCAGTTATAGATAGTCATTCTCTGGACCTCTCATCCGAACCACATGAACCCAGTTTATCCAGCTTCTCCTCCATTAACCTGGCACCCACCCAAAGCTTTGGGCTGGACACTGACAGCATAGAGCAGTTTCCTGCCTACTTGTTCCTTTGGGCACTGCACAGGCATCACCTGTGTTCTTCACTATGCCCAGAGGAGTTTGCATCCCTTTCTAGGCTCAGTAGACGGCTCTTAATTACAAGTACCTCCGTTTTGTCACTTCTTAAATAAGTCTTTCCAATGTTCTCTAAATGTCATGCTGGGTCATAAGCAGTAATGAGATTTGGTGAGAAAGGCAGGACTCTGGTGGCCTGGAAGAAAGTCTGTTGTAGCTGCAGGAATTATTCTTGGAGGAACAAAAAAAGTTGGAAATAAAGACAAGCCAATGATGAGATTGCAGGAGAATGCAGCTTGAAGCTTGGTCAGATACATAGGAACCAGCCACCTGATAGTGGCTTTCCCCATCCCCCAAGTCCCACCTTCTCTCAGCATGGGAGAGCTAGATAAGGGCAAAAGTGGAACCACTGAGTACAGGAGATAAACATTTCTAAAATGTGAATTTTGGCTGGGCATGGTGGTTCACGCCCGTAATCCCAACACTTTGGGAGGCCGAGATGGGTGGATCACCTGAGGTCAGGAGTTCGAGACCAGCCTGGCCAACATGGTGAAACCCCATCTCTACTAAAAATACGAAAATTAGCTGGATGTGGCGATGGGTGCATGTAATCCCAGCTACTTAGAAGGCTGAGGCAGGAGAATCACTTGAACAGGAAGTGGAGGTTGCAGTGAGCTGAGATGGCACCACTGCACTCCAGCATGGGTGATAGAGTGAGACTCCATCTCAAAAATCAATAAAAATAAAATGTGAATTTTGTCTTATCTCTTCTTGATTAAAATCTTGTGGTAGCACCCTATTGCCTTTTGAGTAAGAGCATTAACTCCTACACATGGCATATAAGGACCTCCCTAATCAGGTCCTTCCTACCTTGTCAGCCCCCTTGTCTGTATTCATTTGCTAGTGCTGCCCTAACAAGGGACCACAGACTGGGGGGCTCTACTCCCAGTCTACTTCCTTTGTTTCTGCACATAAGTTACTTAACTTCCCTGAACCTCAGTTTCTTCATCTCTAAACATGGGGTTAGTAGTGCCAATTCTGAATTGATGTAAAATTAAATGAGGTACTGTATTCAAGTAAAATAATCATAATCATTAGTCTTTAGAAATTGATGACATGGAAACATTTTTATATTTAATGTGAAGACAAAAATTGTATGGAATTAGGTCTACCATATGAGCTCAATTATGTAACAAAAAATCACACACATGCACACAAATATAGACATTTAGAAAAATGAGTGGAAACAAATATACTTCTGTTAGTTGGGTCTTCTAGAAGCAGGCATTATGATGGAATTAGGATTTTAAGCACTTTGTGGGAGTAAGACCTGTGAGAGAAAAAAGGAAGAGGAAGCAGGATTGGGCAGAAAAAGCCTTCAGACAAGTGTGTGTGAAAGGAAAGAGGAGGGAGAGCAGGACTGGACAGGAAGGGTTCACAAAATAGATGTGACACAGTCTCTGCCAACCCAGTAGAGATCTCTGGAGCAAGACTGATCATTAGAGAAGTTCCCTATTAAGCAAGATTGGCCAGGCCCTGGTACCTCCACCATGCTCAAGTATAGTTACTGGCTGGCTTTGCCTGGAAAGAGCATGGCCTCAACTCAAAAGCTGGAGAGGATCCCTGATATGGTTTGACTATGTCCCCATCCCAATCTCATCTTGAATTGTAGCTCCTATAATTCTGAGGTAATTGAATCATGGCAACGGTTTCCCCCATTCTTTTCTCGTGGTAGTGAATAAGTCTCTACTTTTTTAGAGGTTTCCCCTTTTGCTTGGCTCTCAATTCTTTCTTGTCTGCTGCCATGTAAGATGTGCCTTTCATCTTCTACCACGATTGTGAGTTCTCCCCAGCCATGTGGAACTGGGAGTCCATGAAACCTCTTTTTTTTTTTTTTTTTTTAATAAATTACCCAGTCTCGAGTATGTCTTTATTAGCAGCGTGAAAATGGACTAATACAATCCCCGAGGTGTTTCATATCTGGAGGCTGTCAGCCCATTATGCTTCTTGCAGCTGTACTGTGAGTTCTTTCTGGAAGGGAGATTCAAGTGGCTTACCTCCGTAGCAGTCACACCCATTACTCTTTAGTTAACGAGAGTAAGAACTATCTCCATTTTTTTCCTCATAATTTTCTGTGTTTTAAAGAATTCTTATACTTCATCATTCATTCTCTTTTAATCAGATATGTATTTTAAATTATACCCAGAAAAAAAGTATATTTCTTTTAAATACAGTAAGATAGCCTGTAATACTAAAATAGTACTAGTTTTTATAATTATTATAGCTAATATTTGTTCAATGCTTATTGTATGCCCCCTGGTATACTAAGTGCTTAACTTGCACTTTTTTTTAGTCCTTGCAAATGAAGTATTCTTCCCATTTCATCTGTCAGCATTCTTAGAAGAAAACAATATAACTTTGGTTAACTTAGAAAAGAAATTGCTTGGATGAAATTGCTTGGATGGGCCAGGTGCGGTGGCTCACGCCTGTAATCCCAGCACTTTGGGAGGCCGAGGTGGGCGGATCACGAGGTCAGGAGATTGAAACCATCCTGACTAACACGGTGAAACCTTGTCTCTACTGAAAATACAAAAAATTAGCCGGGCGCGGTAGCGGGCGCCTGTAGTCCTAGCTACTCGGTAGGCTGAGGCAGGAGAATGGCGCGAACCTCCGAATGGGAGGTGGAGCTTGCAGTGAGCCGAGATCGTGCCACTGCACTCCAGCCTGGCGGACAGAGCCAGACTCTGTCTCAAAAAAAAAAAAAAAAGAAAAAAAAAAGAAAGAAATTGCTTGGATGGACATAAGGAAACTACAGCCAGCCTACAGGAAGGCTGAGGCATGGTCTAGGGATCAGGGGACCCGGGAGTGCGGCAGTGCAGCTAGGATGGATGCTGCCTCCTGACCGCACCACACTGCCGTGGCTGTGCTCTTACCATCCATTCTTCATGTCCCTTTACAGGTGTGTGCTGTGCCCTCCAGAGGCAAAGTCTCTGCAGGCAGAGTTGTTGGCCCATACAAGGTCATATTGCAGTTGACAGGATATCTGGCCTCTTTGGCTACCATGGTGGGAAGATTTACAAGTGGAGGATGCTAAAAGGAAAGAAAAAAAAAAGGGAGTATGATGCCGGGTAGAAAGTAGAAGGGAAGGAGTCAGAGAGGCAGAGAAGGAAGATGGGTAGGAGAGAAGAAAGGACAGGGAAAAGTGACGAGAAAGAACAGGAAAAAGAAATGTCTTCTATTTTCATTTTATAGGTGAGATAACAGAAGTAAAACACCTTCCTCTCAGACATTCAGATGATAAGTGGTAGAGCCAAGATTCAGCACCAGGCAGCCTGAGTTCAGATTCTGTGACTGATTTATTTTATTTATTTAGGGTTTTTTTTTTTTTTTTTTTTTTTGAGATGGAGTTTCACTCTTGTCACCCAGGCTGGAGTGCAATGGCATGATCTTGGCTCACTGCAACCTCCGCCTCTCAGGTTCAAGCAATTCTCCTACCTAAGCCTCCCAAGTAGGTGGGATTACAGGCATGTGCCACCACGCCCAACAAATTTTTGTATTTTTAATAGAGATGGGGTTTCACCCTGTTGACCAGGCTGGTCTCGAACTCCTGACTTCAGGTGATCCACCTGCCTTGGTCTTCCAAAGTGCTGGTATTACAGGTGTCAGCCACCATGCCCTGCCAATTCTGTGCTTTAAATAATCCTACTATTCTTGCATTCCAGGCTCTGAGAGGCCAGAAAAAGAGAGAATACACTAAATACTAATTTCTAATCTTCCAAGGTCACCTTACTTCCTAGACTCTGCAGCAATCCAGACTGAACCCATAATTATATACTGGTTTGACTTGACCACTACCTCTGTTCCTTAGAAAAACCATACACCAGTTGAGAGAACCAAGTACCCTGAGAACATGATGTAAGCCAGAGAAATTTTTTTAAAGGCTGACTTCAAGTGCAGAATGGAATATTTTAAGGTAAATCACACTTGCCTCTAAACAGCTTTTTTTCAGGTCTAACTCACAGCCTTTCTTACCTGCTCACCAGGCAGGAGCAGCAGCTAGCTGTAATTGTTGCTTTAATACCTCAACTCTGGTCTTTGTATGAACTACCGTAAATAAATAAATGTGTGAATGAATGAATACATGCATGCTTTCCTCAAATGAGTATGCCTTTCCCTGGGACTTTTTTTCCACATTGATAAAATCTACTTTTTTTTTTCTTGAAGTATTTAAACAGTTTCTAAAATGAGATCTGCCACTTGGAGACTCCCATGTCTTAACAAAACTGTTCATTATCTCTTTCTCTTAACATACTGCTTCCCATGGATTTTTGTTGAAAACTCAGTTTGTCAGTTGCCCGGACTTTGATCTCTGACAATGTGACACTGGCCGTTTGAATTTCCTTCTCCTACTAAGAGATACTTTTAGCATATCTGTTACTTGTGACTCGTCTTCTGCCTACCACTCTTAAGTTCTGGAAAGACTAGAATTGTTCCTGAAGTGCTCAAAAACCAGATGGCAACAGAAACCAGAATGTAAACAATCATCCCTGGAATTGGGGTGATGAACATCTTAGGAGGTAAGCACCAGGGCATGGCCACAAGAACTCTTGCTTTTGATTCAGGAGAGCTGGGTTTGAATCCCAGTGCCAAAATGCATTAACTGTGTGACCTCGAGCAAGGCACTTAACCTTTCTGAGCCTTGGTTCCCTTATCTTGTAACTAAGAACACTAAGCTGTGCCTCTCTTGGGAGCTGTGAGGCTCAAGCTGAATGGTGTGTGTGGTTGAGTTTGGAACTAGAGAGAGATGTATAAAGAATGCTATCTTTGTTGTTGTGAACAGTCTGGAAGGAGTCTTAGAAAACTAGAAGAGTATGTTTCAAGCTTTCTGCCTTGCAACAAACATTAAGTTTTCCTCTGGCAAACCCCAAATAGACCTTTCCAGGCAGTGGCCAATCATAGACAATACTGTGAGCCAGGAAGGGACCATCCCTGGCTATCAGGCAGCATGGTGCCCCAGCTATGGTTCCTGACTAACACAACAACGAACCTTGATGCAAGCAAAACAGTGGGCAGCTCTGCCCATGTTGGAGCTGTGAAATTGTTAGTCCGTGCCATTTCTAGGACGACTCCTCTGCACATCCATGCTGGGTGTAGACATGGGGAAAAAGCTGCTTAACATGTTATGTTCTTGCACTGTGCTTTTAACTTTTCCCTCCATACCCTTTATTGCTTACTATAGTCATGTGTTTATGTGAGAAAATGTTTAATGCTGATGTCTTTCCTACATTTTAAGTTCATTAAGGGAATGGGAGATGCTCATTTTGGACACTTTCAAGTTCTCAACGCTTCTCAAAATGTCATCACCAACTAGTCACTTAAAAAGAATTTACTGATGCATGAATAGTAAATATGTATTTTTGAGAAATTTAAAAACCAAGATAGTATTACACTGTCATACTGTGTGGGAATATTTGCTTTTCCTTTTGGATTTCTGTTACAATAGAATCATAGGAGAGGGGATTAACTTGATAAGGATACAAGGATCAATGGAAACATCATATTATCCCTATTTCATATTTTCATTGAGTAGCCAATATGTACTGAGATAATGTATGAAAAATGTATTTTGCTGCTTCTTTTGTCTGTCTCCTTTAATTTCTAAAACACTAACACAGCAGTGAAGTATTTAAGCTTTTGTTCATTCTTCAAAGAGCCTTTGGGAACATTGTACCTTTAGACAGGATCCCAGAATCTCAGGGACACTTGTGTAAGTATGTGACATTCATCCTTGGTGAAAAGAAACTATCATAAAAACAGCTGGGAACCCTTTATTGAGTGTGTTCAGACATTTCCCAACTCCTATCTCATTTTCCATGTACAGACAATTCATGTACCCAATGACAGATAAAAATTTTGAAGAGTTGTTTTATGCAAAACATTTCCAAAAAGTATCTACAATTTACCTCATCAGGCAAGAAATATGAAGATGTATATTTTTCTTTTTGGTTGTTAAAAAAAGTGCTTTCTGAAATGCACTGTGGCATTGATTGGGAGGAAAAGTGAGTTTTAGTAGCTCTGAGATACTTTCTACCCCAACCATCCGTATTAAAGTTCCATCATAAATTCAGAACTTTGGTTGTTCCATGAATTGGATGAAGCATGCTATCATGGCACAGTACTTTGCAGGCCTCCAGCAAGCCCAACAACTGATGGTTTACAGCTGTCATGGTTGCAGCAGTGGGAGCTAATAAGAAAATCTCTAGGATGTCTATTAAAGCAACTAGAATGCAGAATAAGAAAACCAAGGTGAGTATTCTGTCAGAGATAAGGACCTGATTTAATGGAAAAGCTGGTGCTTTCATGCCACTCAGCCAAGGCATGTATTGAGAGGAAGCATTACATAAATAATGCCCTGATACAGCTTGGGCTTCTGCCAAAATGCTAACGGATGTGAACAAAGACCAAAACAACATGTCAAAAAAGATGTTTTTTGTTTTTTGTTTTTTTTTTAAACCACAAATAAGTAGATAACATCACTGCCCATTTGCAGATAGGCATGCTAGTTTTTAAAAAATGTTACAAGGATTTTTATGGCCCCTTAAGTTACATTCCACATACGGGTAAAACTGAAGCTATTTATAGGCCAAGATGTCTTGGTCTCAAGAAACTCATAGTACAATGAAAAAGGCAAGTAAACCAGCATTACATAGTACCAAAAAGGAGCTAGACTAGACCAAGTGCATCATAGAGGGAAGAGTTTGTGTCTTCATCTTAGTATATCTCCAGCTCTTAGTCCAATGTCTGGCACATACATTCAGTTCTTACTAAATACTGAAATGGGTAATAACTGAACATAGAGCTTCATAATACAGGAGCTCAGAGGAAGGGACCCTTAATCAAGTCCAAGTAGTGGGGGTAAACAGAAGATCAAAAACAACTTTACAGAGGAAGTGACTTTTGTACAGAATTACGACAGTTTGGGGCTGAACAAGCAAAGAGGTCAACAACACTATAAGCAGCAGGAAAAGTTTATCCAAGAAAGAGGAGAGATTAAGAGCAGGGCAATTTCCTAGATTTGCAAATAAAATACTTTGTTACGCAGGTAGCTATGTAGCACAAGGTAGGTGGTAGGGAATAGACGTGGAGTTTTTTGATGGACAGAGACCAGATCTTGTATGCTATAGTGAATTTGAATTTCAGCCTTTCTTAAACAACCATCAAAGCATTTTAAACAGTAAACTGACATAACTGGATATACAATGTTAAGAAGACTGCTATGATAGCTTTGTGGAAGTTCACTCAGCTATTTGGGGCTATAAAATTATAGGCAGAGTGTAATTGAGAGGTTTTGAGATGATCTAGGCAAAACTTAGGGGAGACCTGAGATAAGGCAGTAATAACAAGGATAGAGAGCTGTGGACTCGTTTAAAAGCGGGCTCAGTGACTCACGTCTGTAGTCCCAGCGCTATGGGAGGCCGAGGCGGGCAGATCACCTGATGTCAGGAGTTGGAGACCAGCCTGGCCAACACGGCAAAACCCTGTCTCTACTAAAAACACAAAAATTAGCCGGGCACCTGTAATCCCAGCTACTCGGGAGGCTGAGGCAGGAGAATAAAATAAAACAAAATAAAAAATAAAAGATATATGGGAGGTAGAATTGGCAAAGACTAGAGATTATATGTAGGAAGAGAGAAAAACAGGTGTCAGGAAAAATGCCAAATGCTCAGGTTTCTGACTTGGGCACCTGGAGAAGGATAATGCCATTCATTGAGGTAGTGAACACTGGAAGGGAAGAATTTGGCCAAGGTAGATATAAATGGATTCTCTTATTTATGTGATCAGCTTGAGGGTCTGGGGAAATTCAAACTAAGGTACTCAACAGGTTGTGGAATATTTGAGTCTGTGTATTATAGTTCATAAAAGATCTCTAAGGCTGTAACTTTGAGAATCATAAGCTTGTAACTTGTAACTGTAGAGAGTCTAGATTAGATCATGCATAAGATTACATAGAATGAGAGAAGAGCCTGGGCCAGAGCCCTGAATGAACAGTAAGAGGGACAGGAAAAGCTCTTCTAAATAGCTTGTATCCAGAAAAAGCTGCATAAACAGGGAAAGAAAGAAAATGTGGGTGGCTGGGGTATATGTATATCCATTAAAGGAATGGCACAACGACAAAACAGGTAAATCAAGGGTAGATCAACATCTTAGCTCTCAGAAATATGATTTAATCTTAAACTTATTGTCTCCAACATCTAGCTTTCCCAGATCATAGATTAAATGTACCAGAATTATAAAATCTGTTTTTTTCTCTCATGCAAGTGGCAAAAAAGGTACCTTTTAGATGATGCTAGCACCATAGGACATCCCCAAAGACAAGTATCTCCTATTTGAGAAGCAAGATGTGATTGTAACACATTCCTGTCTGTCTTTCCTGATGAGGCTCCTGCTGCACATTTTGGGATTTGTTTTTTTATGATGGTGGGGGTCGGTGGATGGAGTCTGAAAGTAGGAACTTCCAAAAGATGCTACGGAGTGTAGAAAGGTTTAACCTTTATATATCTTTGGAAAAGTATGCTCTTGAAAATAATATATTGACATACATGTCACCTATGTCCGGAGTGGTGATGGGCACCACGTGATCAATAAGGTTTCTATCACCCCAGATGCTGGGGATTTTACTGCTTTCCTTTAAACGTGTTTTCTGAGAAGGTGTTTTTTATAATGCTCTTTCTCTAGTTAAGTTGGATATTTTGACAATGTAAAGTTTGCTTTATTTGTGAGCCTTGGCACTTAATCTGATGAGTTTATTCCCACTTTCACTGCCATTGGCAATCATGTTGAAAATGGAAATCAGCTCAATGAAATCTAGAATATCCACCTATTAGATGCAGCTGAGAAGCCTAAAGTGGCCTGGCTCAGGACAGGTTCAGTTTTGATTAAACTAAACACAATTCGTGCCCAATTCTATTACTAAGTAAAATACTTATTTATACTTGTTTCTGGATATAAGCATTCTTTTAAATGTGTTTTTTTGTACATTACATGTATTTTTCACAACAATAAAGGCAGCATGGACCATATCTGTATTAGAATTGAAGAGCGAGGACTTGAAAACAAGGAAACAAGCCTACAGAATTTTCTATAAGAAATGCCCAAATAAAAGTGAAAAAAAGTTTAAAAATCAGTGGATTTCTTTTCAAACAAAACCACATTTTAAAATTTTCTTCACATTTATTATTTCCTCACTGCTACCCTGTTTAAGGCAAGACTTCTTTCCCCCGTTTTACAGATGAAGAAAGTGAAACAAGAACACTGAATGACTTGACAAAGGTCAGATTTAGAGAACAGATGAGAATTTAAACCCAGGTCTTCCATATTCACCTGCCAGAAATCATTCTTTATTCCATGGAAATGGAGAAGTAGTCATTCTTAATTCTCTTACTTAAGAACTGATTAGGAAGTCATGCATTTCCAAAGTACGTTGAAAGCCTCTGAATCACCATCCTTAGGGAACACATTTTTCTCGAACAAAGAGACATCTAGATTTTTTATTTGGTGTTCATTAATTAAAAACTTCTTAATAAGTACATTTTACAGGTGAAATTCAACCATTCTACCAAAAACAATGTTTATTACGTGTAACAAGAATCCTGGTTAATCATTTTTTCCTTTTAAACCACTCAGTAGCCAAACTTAGAATCCCCTATCTTATTCTTTTTGGTTTTATGAACTCGTCTGATATGAAGAATCTAGGATAGGCAATTGACTGAGTTCACAGTGACCTCATTTCAACTGGGAACATAATTTAATGAACATTTCTTGGCAACCGAGAGAATATTTTTCTAGCTACATGTGAAGGTTATCTTTACATATGTAACTCATAGGCAATACATATGTGTATACTGTATCATGTGTACTATATATATGTGCATCAGGATATATATACACACACATATATGTGGTTATTATGTGTGTATATATATCCTGAAGCATTCTTCCTTTTGTTCTGAACAATTTCTTATTCTTTTAAGAGGTTAGATTTATTTTTGCACCATGACTGAGACTAAATGGATAAAAGTGCAATTAGATTCTATATCATACTAAAGACTGAGCAATTAGTTCCATGTAAAATAAGGCTTATGATATATTTTTAAGCAGGCTTTTTAACAAGCCTTTGTAAGAGTTTACTATTTAATGCATTCTGCTAGTGTAATAGCACTGAACTGCACTAAGCTTACTGCTCTTTTAAAAATCAACCCAAATTTCTGCTCATTTAATTCATGGTTGATAAGGTATTTGTACATGAACTTGTCTTACATGTCATTCCATAATCTGGGAACATAAATTTAACTCAAATTTTTGTTTTGTGATATTGGAATTTTTAGCTAAATTAACAAGTCCAGCATATTGGAATTTTTAGCTAAATTGACAAGTCCAGCATAAAATATATATTGCTGGTAGCTTAATAGTTTAATTCATATATTAAACTATTTCATTTAACATATTTTATATTGAAGTTTTATCATTCCTGTCTCAGAAATTTAATTTTGGCTTAAGATGTAATAAATGCTGTCATAAGACTTGGACTTCATATTTTTCAACTCCTGAAAATTTGGAGACCCCTGCTTTGCCAAATCACAGCTTCATATGTTACAGGAAGAATAGCAATTTAGAAACCTGCATTTTTTTTTCTCTGTACTGGCCAAAAACCTGTGCCCCTGGAGAAAAATGATCTTGACAAAACAGATATAATTCATTTGGATATTTAGACAAAAGAATAGGCAGGATTAATATTAGAATAAAGTTTATTTTTTTCCAATTCCACATGATTAAAATGCTTAGTTGTACAAAGATCGCCTGTCATAGAGGTCACATATTGTAAAAAGAAAAAATTAGAAAAGTATAAGTATGCTCATTTGCCCCTATTCTCTAGAACATAGTCATTGTGAAACTTTTGGATCTTCATCCATGAAATGGGTGAAAATGTCACATTTGGTGTCATTTCAATTTTTATGTTTTATGAGTGATATTATAGATACATGAGATACATAAACGTATCTATTTGATGCATTTGGGTTTTATCCAAATAAAATATATATAAATTTATTCCACTGAAACATAAATGGAGATATGGCTTCATTTATTGCTTCATGGATGTTCGGACATCAATTATATGTCCCATTTCCCGGTAGACTAAATTTCCATATAACTTAAATTTTTATAGTATTATGTAACAAAGCCTTACCATTTTCAGAATTGGCATATCAATTTTTTTCTTATTCTTGCATTTCAAACTCTTTCTGAATCTTACTTTTTCCACATGAACTATAGAATTACCTCACTAATCTTATCTCACCCCAAAAAATTCATGCTAGTATTTTAGAATAAATTTTATTGATACATAATTTACATAAAGTTAAATGCACCCATTTTAAGTGAACAGCTCGGTGGGTTTTGGTAGATATGTGTAACTGGACATTTCCGTCACCCCACAAAGTTCTCTTAAGCTTCTTTGTAGCAATTCTCCCATCCTGGTCCCAGGCAAACACGGATCTGCTTTCTGTCACTGTCGACTAAAATTTCATGTAAACAGAGTCAATACCATAAGTATATTTGTGTCTGGCTTATTTTATTGAGCATGGTGTTTTGGTATTCATCCATGTTGTGTGTTTGAAGCAGTTTGTTCTTTATTGCTAAGTAGCATTCCACCGTATGAGAATGCCACTTTCATTTGTTCACCTGAGAAAATTCATGGGGTCAAATAATAGCTAGGCTTTTAGTGTGAGGTTCGATGTTTATCTGGTTAGAAGTAGGCAGTGGTTAGCTGTACAGTGGTTGCTGTAGCTCTGGTATCAGTGGCTGAAATCTGCTCTGTTATCCCTTTTTTGACTCCCTGTTTTCTTTGGGTTTTCTTAAAGACTCCTTAAATAGTCTTAGGCTTAGAATTCTTTAGCTGTAATCCCTTCCTGTTATTATATAGGAGCCCTACTGATGTGAAGGGGGGGGGGAAGCAATCTACAGTCCAGTGATTAGATCTTTTAGTGAGCCCGAGTTAGATATTTCCCTTCCTCCACATCAAAGACTATAAAGGGCTGGAGTTGAATGCTTCCCTTCCCCCCGGGCTAGTTAGGCTTTGGTAAAATACCAGCTGGCTAGGCTCTGGCAAAATAATTTCCTTTTCCGGGTGGTCTTATTTAAAAATAACAGAAAGTTCCAGCTGTGTTTCAAACTGGTTACTTTTTCCTTCCTCCTGCTGGTTCCTGGAAGTAAAACTCACAGAAGTGTGGACATCCCATTAAGCTGTATCCCCTTGAAATTTTTAACTTAAGCTAGTCTACACTGAGCCTCTAGCAATTCATAATTTAAAGTAATCCTTCTGATGCTGGCTCCAGGCGAAGGCTTTTGCTTCCTGCACACTGTGATTCTCTGTATCTACCTGTCTGTCTCTCTGGTTTTCAAGGCAGCAGTTTGCCCTTTGACCTCAGTACTCCGATGGATCTAATAAGATCTTCAGTTCATTCAGATTTTTCTTGTTGTGAAGATGAGGGTGTTGACTTCTAAGGTCATGTTAGCTTGGAAACAGGAAGTACTCTTGTTATTCATTTTTAAAATTTGGTAATTTGGTGTCTTACTGAGTTATGCAAGTTATTGATATATTCTGGAGAAAAGTGTTTTATCAGATACATGGATTGCAACTAATTTTCCTTTCAATTTCCTTTCTTGATTGTCCACTGTTAGTATAAACAAAATAAGTTGATTTTTCTATTTTGACCCTATATCCTGAAAACTTGCTAAATTAAATTAGTTCTATTAGCAAATTTGTAGATCTTTTAGGATTTTAAAATATACATAATCATGTTGTCTACAAATGTAAACTTTTACTTATTTTTTGTGTGATCTGTCATTTCTTGACTAATCACATTGTCTAGAACCTCATATAGTGTGGGATAGAAATGGTGATATCACACAGGCTTGCTCCATTCCCAGTGTTAAGGGAAAGTGTTCTTTCACTATTAAGTATAAAGTGGTAGGTTTTGCACGCACATCCTGATATGGTTTGGCTCTCTGTCCCCACCCAAATCTCATGTCAAATTGTAATTCCTAGTGTTGGAGGTGGGGCCTGGTGTGAGGTGACTGAATCGGGGGCAGACTTCCCGACTTCCCCCTTGCTGTTCTTGTGATAGAGTTCTCATGAGATTTGGTTGTTTGAAAGTGTGTATCACTTCCCCTTTCACTTGTTCTTTCTTCTGCCTGCCATGTGAATATGTGCCTGCTTCCCCTTTGCCTTCTCCCATGATTGTAAGTTTCCTGAGGCCTCCCCAGAAGCAGAAGTCTGTACAGCCCACAGAACCTTAAGCCAATTAAACCTCTTTTCTTTATAAATTGCCCAGTCTCAGGTATGTCATTATAGCAGCATGAGAACAGACTAATCAGGTTGAGGGTATTCCCTTCTGTGTCTAGTTTTGAGAGTGTGGGTTTTACTTTTCACAAATACTGTTGCTGCATCTATTGAGTTGATAATATATTCCTTTTTAAAAAATCCTGTTAATGATGAATAATATCAATTGATTTTTTTTAATGTTAAGCTAACCTTGCATTCTTGAAATAAATCCAATTTGATCATATGACTTATCCTTTTGATGCACTGCTGGATTCAGTTTGTTAATATTTTGTTAAAGACTTTTGCATCCATTTATAAGTAATATTTATAACTTTTTTCTTCTAATGTCTTTCTCTGGTTTTAATATCAGGGTAATGCTTGCCTCAAATTTGTTAAAATTGTTACTTACACCTCCATATACTAAGTTTATGTATGACTGGCACTTATTCTTAGGTGTTAAGTAGAATTTACCAGTAAAATAATATGGACTTAGACTTTTCTTGTAGGTTTTGTAAAATTATAAATTCAATTTCTTTAATAGCTATGAGGTTTTAACATTTTCTATTATGTATGTCAATTTAAGTAAATTGTCACTCAAAGATATTGTCAATTTCATCAAACATGACAATTTTGTTGGCAAACTTTTAGTACAATTCCCTTTATTATCGTTTTATGTCTGCAGTATTTATAGTGAAATACATTCTTTCATTCCTGCTATTGCTGATATTGATCATTTGTATCTGTTCTCATTCTCATGTGTGCTGTTCCTTCTTTGCTCAGCCTAGTTAGAGGTTTATTGATATTGTAAAAGACACATTTGGTTTCATTGATTTTTTTTTAATTTGTATCTCTTTCTAATATATTGATTACTTCCTTCTACTTTGAATTTTTCTTTTTCAAGATTTTGAAGGTAGAATTTGAGACCATTAACTTAGCTCTTTTTTTTCCTAATACAAACATTTTAGGTTACACATTTCCTTCTAAACCCCACTTTAGCTACATTCCACAAATTTTGCTTTGATGTATTTAATCATCATTCTTCCCCAAATATTTTTGAGTTACTTTATTACTTTTTATTTGATCCACAGACTATTTAGAAATTTGCTTATTTTCCAGGTATAGGGGATTTTTGATAAATATTTTGCTATTTATTTATAGTTTAAATCTTTTATGGTTCAATAATATTCTGTTACTTTAATTCTTTCAAATTAATTAGTCTTGTTTTATATCCCAGAAAATGCTCTATATTGGTGAATTTTTCATTTGCACTAGAACAGATTATGTATTTTGTAGGTGTTGGGTGGACTGCTTATAAATGTCTATCAGTTCAAGTTTGCTAATATTACATTTCATGTGTTTTATATCCTTGTTAATGTTCTGTCTACTTTTTAAATTAACAAGTGAGGAGTATGAATCTCCAACTATAAATGTGAAATTATCTTTTTTGCTTCAGTTCTCTGGTTTCTTATACTGAAACCTTTTTACACAGGCATTTAGGATATTTGTCTTTTTAATGGATTGCCCATTTATTATAAAATGTCACCTATTTTCTCTCATAATATTTCATGTTTTACAGTCTTTTATTAATAGAGTGATGCATTTTCTTATGTATTTGCATTTTGTATCCTTTTAATCTTTTACTTTTAAGCTATATGTTTATTTATATTTAAAGTGTGTTTCTTATAGCTGGCATATTTAGGTCTTGTGTATGTCCTGCATGGTCATCTTTGCCTTTTAATTTTAGTGTTCAGAATATTTATTTATTTGAGATAGTGTCTCGCTCTGTCACCCAGGCTGGAGTGCTTCCCAAAGTGCTGGCATTATAGGCGTGAGCCACTGCACCTGGCTGGAATATTTATTTTTACTGCAATTATTGATATGGCTCTGTTTAAGCCTATTTTTGCTTTTCTTTTTTTTTTATTTCAATAGCTTTTAGGGAACAGGTGGTATTTGGTTACACGGAATAAGTTCTTCAGTGGTGATTTCTGAGATTTTGGTGCACTCATCACCTGAGCAGTGTACACTGTACCCAATATGTAGTCTTTTATCATTCACCACCCTCCCAGTCTTCTCCCTGAGTCCTAAAAGTTCATCATATCATTCTTATTCCTTTGCATCCTCATGGCTTAGCTGCTTGGCTCCTATTTACAAGTTAGAACATAAGATAGTTTTCCATTCCTGAGTTACTTCACTTAAAATAATGGCCTCCAGCTCCATTCAAGTTGCTGCAAATGCATTATTTCATTCTGTTTTATGGCTGAGTAGTACTCCATGATATATATGTATATCAATATCACATTTTCTTTATCCACTCATTGGTTGATGGGCATTTAGGTTGGTTTCATATTTTTCCAAGTATAAATTGTGCTGCTATAGACACGCAGGTTCATCTGTCTTTTTCATATAATTCTTTTTTTTTCCTTCTGAGTATATACCCAGTAGTGGATTGCTGGAACAAATGGTAGTTCTACTTTTAGTTCTTTAAGGAATCTCCATACTGTTTTCCATAGTGGTTGTACTAATTAACATTCCCACCAGCAGTGTAAAAGTGTTTTTTTTTTTTTGTTTTTTTTGTTTTTTACCACATCCATGCCAACATCTATTATTTTTTTATTTTTAAATTATGGCCATTCTTACAGGAATAAGGTGGTATCTCATTTTCGTTTTAATTTCCATTTCCCTGATTATTAGTCATGTTGAGCATTTTTTCACATGTTGGCCATTTGTATATCTTTTTTTGAGAATCGTCTATTCATGTCCTTTGCCCACTTTTTGATGGGATTGTTTGTATTTTTCTTGCTGATTTGTTTGAGTTCCTTGTAGATTCTGGATATTAGTCCTTTGTTGGATGCATAGTGCACAAAGATTTTCTCCCATTGTGTGGATTGTCTGTTTACTCTGCTGATTATTTCTTTTTCTGTGCAGAAGCTTTTTAGTTTAATTAGGTCCCATTTATTTACTTTTGTTTTTGTTCCATTTGTTTTTGGGTTCTTGGTTATGAATTCTTTGCCTCAGCAATGTCTAAAAGAATTTTCCGATGTTATCTTCTAGAAATTTTAGGGCTTAAGGCTCTGGATTTAAGTCTTTGTCCATCTTGTGTTGATTTTTCCATAAGGTGAGAGACGAGGATCCATTTTCATTTTTCTACATGTGGCTAGCCAAGTTTCCCAGCACTATTTGTTGAATGTGGTGGTCCTTTACCCACTTTGTTTTGGTATGCTTTGCAGAATATCAGTTGGCAATAAGCGTTTGGCTTTATTTCTGGGTTCTGTATTCTGTTCCATTGGTCTATGGGCTTATTTTAATATTCCAGTATCATCCTGTTTTGGTAACTATAGCCTTGTAGTATAGTTTGAAGTTGGGTAAAGTGATGTCTCAAGATTTGTTCTTTTTGCTTAGTCTTGCTTTGGCTAAGTGGGCTCTTTTTTGGTTTCATATGAATTTTAGGTTTGTTTATTTGTAGTTGTTCCATTTGTTTTCTCTTCTTTTTTCCTCCTTTTTCTGTCTTCTTTTAGATTAAGTTAGTACATTTTAATATTCCACTTTATCTCTCCTTTTGGTTTATTAGCTATTCCTATTTGCAGTAATTTTAGTGGTTGCTGTATGGTTTACAATACGAATATTCAACTTATGGTAACTTTCAAAAAGTAATACACCATTTCCAAATAATACAGGAAGTTTAGAGCAGTATGCTTCCATTTACTCCTCCTATTCTTGTAATATTGTTTTTATATTTTTTATTTGTATATATGGTTATATAGTCATATTGATTTTATTTTTTTCAGTCAATTATCTCTTAAACTTAGAAGGAAAAAATACCTTTCATGTTCATCCACACATTTACCATTTCCAATACCTTTTATTACTTTGTATGTATTCATTCATGTATTCACTTGACATCATTTTTCTTTCTCATTGATTTGTGACTTTGTCTTTATCACCACTTCAGTAATTCAATGATATGCCTTACTGTACTCTTAAAAATGTGTTTCTCTCACTTGGAGTTCACTCATTTTATATATTTAAAATTTATCAAATGTGATGTTGAGTCATTTTCTTCAAATATTCTTTCTGCTTGCCACCTTCTCCTTTGAGACTCCAATTAACCTTATATTAGATCATTTTATGTAGTCCCACAGGTCATTAAAGAACTGCTCATATATTTCCCGTCTTTTTACTCACTGTACTTTAAATCTTATGCCAGTTATCATAAAATGTCTGGAAGCAGAAGTCCTGCTATGACTTTTAGTTTTATAAATTTAAAATTTAAATAGTTTTCTCAAATTATGAGTGTTTGATTTTAATTCATATGAGGAAGTAAAAATAAGAAAGGAAGAAAAATGTCACCCAAACAGAAAACAGAACTTCTATACATACTCACATAATTATTTGAACCAAAACACTTTTGTATTATGTATGCATGTCAATTACCTCTCAATAATTGTATTATATAATTATATAAACTAAATGTATACTTATCATATGATATAAATTAAATATTATCAAATAGTTGAGGAAACTCAATAGAACAAAAGAAGTCCAATATGAAGTAATAGGACAAATACCACTGAAAAAATTAAAAATAACTGAGAAAAATAATTTTAATTGGTATGTTCAGAGCAATTTAAAAGGATACACTGCATTTTCAACTAAAAAGGACTGATCTGAAAAGGAAGCTTTAGAAAACAAAAAGTTTTAGAAAACAGAACATTGGTGAAGTTAAAAAATTCAACAAATAAGATTAAAAATTACAGCTTAACTGCTGTGAGGTTTATCTCAGCATGCTAGTTAATGCCAGTAACTTTGCAAATGTGGCAACATGGTCACAACAGGAGAGAGATTAAGTGGGCAGCTCAGTTAAATGTAAATTTATTGCCTTTTTTTCTGTGAAAATAATGACAAAACTTTCTTGGTTGTCCAAAGCATTACTTTGATAAGGAAAGGACAACACATCGCAATATGTTATAAATAACCAGCCTTTCTCCTTAAATCCGTGCATGTGCTGTATTTCCTATCTGTGGATTCTTTAAGCTATTTTTAATTTCATTCTCTTAGAAAGGAGAAATCTTCTCAGAACAGTATTAGAATCCATATATTAAAGGCAAAGATGAAGAAGCTAGAATTTAACCTTACCTTGACCAACATTGCTATATTTTGAGTCAGTAGTTTGGAATAATTTGTATTTAATTTTCTGTGCTTTAGGAGTAAGTTTTTAGAAGTAAAATTGAGCAGCAGATTTGGAACTTTACCTAATATATGATACAATTATAAAATTAGAGCCAGTCCATTTGTAAATAATTGTTTAAAGGCTGACAATAGAAGCAAGATGAATTTGATTTCCTGGACCAACTTGAGTGTGGAAAGTTTGCTTTGGGTAAAATTAAATTACATAAACAAAACACTGATGAATTGTTAACACCAGCCAATGTTTACACCAAATCAAATCAGTTGTGCTGCTATAGACTTAAGTTAATAAACTAGACTGGACTTTGTTTTTTTAGGGTCACTAATAAAAGAATGACTATCATGTTAAATCTGACTAATAGTTACTTTTCATGAATCAAAGTAATGAACTTAAATCATCAAAATGTCTCAGATAATCATCATTAGCATGTTGTCTTTTATACATCCAAGATACTGTGCAGTCAACATGTTTTTTTTCTTCAAATCATGCTCAAGGCATTTTCATGTCTTAGTCCAACTTTTAATTATTGCTGGTTCCAAATGCAAATAAGTTATTTTTCACAGGCTTGTTTAGATGTCAAGGGTATGAAAATCAGAAAAAAACGTTCAAAATGGTGGTTTTATTTATGATTTTTTTCATCACCATTATGGGAATAATATGGCCGAATACTAAAAATGTTATTTTCTGTCTCCCTGCGATACTCAAGATTCCAGTGTTCTCTTATCTCCCTTTGACCTCTCAGAGCAGTTCTAAAAAGAATCAGGTAGAAGTCATTTACTCCTTTTTTTTCTGCTGATCCAATTGCAGAATTCTTTTTATTCTATGTGTACACGATATTGGCCTTGGATCCCAACAATGGAATATGTGGCATCAATGCTCAGGTCTAATACATTTCGGGAAAGCCATAAATTTTTATAATTGTGTTTGAAACATGCACAAAGATATTTGAAATGTCACCAATTAAAAGAAGTTTGACTTTTGACTCTAATTCCATGAAGAAGGGAAATTGAAAAACATAGTTCATGGAAGTAGAAGTTCTAAACCAGGTCGCTGCTGTGAGTAATGCCTGTAAGACACAGCCTGAGATTCTAGTTTGCCCTGCAAGAGGTCCAGCTGCTGGCCAAGATCCCCTTTTCAGTCCTTTCTACAAAATTTTATCTCCCTACACTAAATTTCTTCATATTTCCTTGTCTTTGATCTCTTTTCATCTCCCTTCCCTGAGTTTATTTTACATGAGATCAAGTATGTAATGATTATCATAATTTCAGCAATTTGTTGATATTAATTTATTTCATTCTGAAACAAAAATCTGAAAGCATAAATCTCCTCTAGCTTTTTCATTCCCTATCTCACTTCCTTCTCTGTCCAAATCTTCTAAATACCATGGACAATGTGATTCACAGTGTCTTCTCTTTTTCCCATTCATTCCCATTCAATATAACTGAATTGAAATAAGTCTCAATTCAGGTATATTTGCCTGTGTTGAATCTTCCTCTAGTCATATAGTAAAAAGCCCATATTACCATTGGAAAGAATGAAAATTGGACTACCAACACATGAATACTAATCATTCCCAGTTGCATGAGCAAAGTGCTTTTACTACCTTGAGTATTTCATGGTTGGTACCTGTTGTGCTGACCAATCACAAAAGAGGGCATGAAGCAGTCGACAACCTCCACTTGGGAATAATCAGCCAGAAAGCAAGTTGAGAAGCATAAAGAGCTTAAATCCAAATCTACAGTGGGCTAAAGCACAAGGTGGGAGAGCCTATGGTGACTTCAGGCAATTAGGCAGATAGGTGCAGATTTCCACCTTTTAAAACTGTAAGCTGGCAGGACTGTGTTATCTCAAATAACATGTGTGCTTCTATGCAAAACACCAAACCTGGTGCCATAGAGGACAAGATAAATGATATTTGGAATCTTTATCTGTGAAAAGCATGTCATCTTGTTGAAACATAGAGACATTTAGCCAAATAGTACAACATACTACATAAGAAAATGTCTACCTGGCCAGTTTGGAGGCTGTAGCCACAGAGAAGCCGCTTACACTGCAACGATGCTCTCGTGTAATGTGGTTGCCATGGCTATTGCTGGCACCCTTCCTTGGTGAGCTGGTCTGGTCTCCAAAAATGCTCTGGGATCATCTTTCATTGCTGCAATAAATGTCCATGGCTCTAACACTCTTCTTCATGAATGGCACGGTGGAGATGTCCTCTATTTTTGAAGAGCATATTGTTAGAGATAATACTTCTGCTGACCTTGAAGAGACTCAGCCTGTCTTAAGTATTGGTGGTGGTATTGCCCAAGTACATGGACTGACGAATGTTCAAGCAGAAGAAGTAGAAGAATTTTCTTCAGGCTTAAAGGTTATGTCTCTGAACTTGGAACCTGAAAATGTTTGGAAATGACAAACTGAAGGAGGAGATATTGTGAAGAGGACAGGAGCCACTGTAGACATTCCAGTTGGTAAGGAGCTGTTGGGTTGTGTAGTAGATACTCTTGATCATGTCCTTAATTATGTGGGTCCAGTGATTCCAAAACCTATAGACAAGTTGGTTAGAAAAATCTTGGAATTATTCCTCAAACTTTGTTGCAGAAACTAAGTAGTCTGGCATTAAGGCTTTGGGTTGCTTCGTGTTAGTTAGTTGTGGTCCGTGTGAACTGATTATTGACAACCGACAGACTGGCAAAATTTAAATTGCTATTGACACAATCATTATACACTCCAATGATCTGATAGAAGAAGCCATATTGTCTCTACATTGCAACGAGTTAAGAGATGATTTTCCAGTTGGTGAAGAGACTTACACATGTAGATGTCATGAAGTAAGCTATTGTGGTTCAGCTGCTATTTCTGATGTTGCCCCACTTCAGTACCTGGCTTCTTATTCTGGCTGTTCTATGGGAGAATATTTTAGAGATAATGGCAAATGTACATTTGCCATCTATGATGATCTATCCAAACAGGCTGGTGATTGCTATCAGATGTCCCTGCTGCTCTGCCGACTCCCTGTTGTGAGGCCTATCCTGGTGATATGTTTCATTTATAATCCTGGCTGTTGGAGAGGGTAGCCAAAATGAGTAATTCCTCTGGCAGTAGCTCCTTGACTGCTTCACCGGTCACAGAAACACAAGCTGGTAATATCTGCTTACATTTCAGCAAATGGAATATCCATTGCTGACTAACAGATCTTCTTAGAAACAGAATTTCTCTACAAAAGTACCTGCCCTGTCATTAATGTTGTTCTGTGTTCTCCATTGGATATGCTGCCCAAACCAGGGCTGTAAAGTAGGAGGCAGGTACTGTGAAGCTGGAATTGGCTCATTATTGTGAATGCTGCTTTTGCCCAATTTGATTCGGACTTTAATGCAGTCAAACTCAGCAACTGTAAAGCTGGTGTGTATCTGCCTAAGTTGCTGATACAAGCCTGGTATTCTTCCATGGCTATTGAAAACAAGCAGTTGCAATCTATACTCATGTAAGAAGGCTATCTTGATAAACTGGAGCCTAGCAAGATCACAAAGTTTGAGAACGCTTTCTTGGCAAATGTTATCAGCCAACACCAAGCCCTGTTCAGCAATATCAAGGCTGATGGAAAGATCCCTTAACAGTCAAATGCAAAGCTGATAGAGATTATAACCAACTTCTTGGCTGGATTTGAAGCTTTTACTATAAATTCACATCAAGTATCAGTTTGGTTTTGTCATTTTTTTCCTAGTAATCAGCTTCACTTATAAAAGGATTCTCATACTCAAATTGTATAGAAGTCATGTTAAAAATATCAGTTCCATGTTGCTTGGTGGCTTAAAAAAATAAAATGTCAAAATGCTTCTCTGGATAGTAACTATTACATTATAAATCTTCACTGACTACAGAATAAGAGAAAATGGACACAAATGTAAGCCAATGGGTTTAATTATAAGGAGTACCTTGTAAAACAGAAGATAGTAACTTTTTTCCCTTAAAATAGCACTGGCTCTGCTTTCATTATGGAAAATAGAAAAACTATTTTATGTTCTTTATCAGTCTTGTGTTTTAGATAATAACTATAAATTATTTTTATCATTTTTCTTAATTTTATGTATTTATGAGGTACATGTAATATAATGCTGGGAAAAGTGGGGAGTGAAGAGAGGTTGGTTAATAAGTACAAAAATACAGTAAGGAGTAAGCTATATTATTTATATATAATATATAATCACATTTATATTCTTATATTTATTGATATTGATATTATCATTTTTATTTACAGAAACACAGTATATTTCAATAGTGACAAATACATGGAGTGAATGCACTAGTTTCATCTTTTCAATTTTCTGGGTAGTAAAGACATGACTGTCACAAAACAATAAAATGTGAAGCGTAAGAATTATATATGAAGAGAGGTTCATAAATATATAAATCATAATATTAAAATGAAATCATCAGACAATATACATATTTAATGACGTACAATTATCACACTATAAAAGAAAAAATAGGTGACCTATAGTCCATGTAAATGTCAAATTCACATTTCTTTTATGTGGCCAAATTATTAAAGCAACAACAATCTATACATGCTATACACACTAACTTGCTAGCAAAAACATCAAGAACTATTGATAATAAGCTGTTTTCTGTTATTTCATTTGTTTAGACAGATGTACTTAATCCTCATGATTGTGCACTTTGAAACCTAGTTTTTAACAATTGATAAAATTGTACTGTATACAATATAATGTTTTGAAATATATATATTGCAGAATGACTACAGCACGCTAATTCACATATGCATTACCTCACATAGTTATTTCGTGGTGAGCTTACCATCTAATCTCTTAGCATTTTCCTAGAATATAACATATTATCTATTGCACAATATGGTAACTATTGTTCTTTTGAACTTATTCCTTCTATGTATCTGAAATTTTGTTTCCTTTGACCAAAATCTCCCTAATTCTCTCCCCACCTGTCCCAGACCCTGGTAACCACCATTCTACTCTCTACTTCTATTGAGTTCAACTTTTTAGATTCCATATATGAATGAGATAATGCAGTGTTTGTCTTTCTGTGCCTGGCTTATTTCACCTAATGTAATGTCTTCCAGGTTCATCCATGCCGCTGTAAATGACAAGAGTTCCTTTTTTGTTAGGGCTGAATAGTATTCCATTGTGTATATATACGGCATTTTAATTATCCTTTCATTTGTTGATGGTCACTTAGGTTGATTCCATATCTTGACTATTGTGAACAATGCTGCAATAAATATAGGGGTGTAGATATGTCTTCTAAATACTGATTTTATATCCTTTGGATGTATATCAGTAGTAGGATTTCTGTAGCATATGGCATAGTTTCAATTTTTTAAAGAACCTCCATAGTGTTTCTATAACAGCTGTACTAATTTACATTTCTGTCAACAATTGTGCAGGGGTCCCGTTTCTCTACATCTTAACTAGCACTTTCATGTTTTCAGTAATGGCCTTTTTAGCAGGCGTAAGGTGATACTTTGTTTTAATTTGCATTTCTCTAATAAAGATAAGCACTTTTTGGATACCTGTTGGCCATTTGTATGGCTTCTTTCAAGAAATGTCTATTTATATCTTTTGCCCAATTTTTTTTTTTTTTTTTTTTTTTTGAGACGGAGTCTCGCTCTGTCGCCCCAGGCTGGAGTGCAGTGGCGCGATCTTGGCTCGCTGCAAGCTCCGCCTCCCGGGTTCACGCCATTCTCCGGGCCTCAGCCTCCCAAGTAGCTGGGACTACAGGAGCCCTCCACTGTGCCTGGCTAATTTTTTTGTTTGTTTGTTTATTGTATTTTTAGTAAAGACGGGGTTTCACTGTGGTCTCCATCTCCTGACCTCGTGATCCGCCCGCCTAGGCCTCCCAAAGTGCTGGGATTACAGGCGTGAGCCACCGCGACTGGCCTGCCCATTTTTAAATCAGGTTATTTGGTCTTTTGCTATTGAGTTGTTGGAGTTCCTTATATATTTTAGATATTAACCCATTTTCAGATATATGGTTTATAAATATTTTTTCCCATTCCATAGGTTGTATCTTCACTCTGATAGTCTTTGTGGCTGTGTAGAAGCTTTTTAGTTTGATGTAATCCCACTTTATTTTTTATTTTTTTATTTTTATTTATTTATTTTTTTGGAGGGAGGGTCTTGCTCTGTTCTTGGGCTGGAGTACAGTGGCTCAATCCTGGCTCACTGCAACCTCCACCTTCTGGGTTCAAGTGATTCTCCCACCTCAGCCTCTAGAGTAATTGGGACTACAGGCACATGCAACCACACCCAGCTAATTTTTGTATTTTCAGTAGAGACAGAGTCTTGCTATGTTGCCCGGGTTGGTCCTGAACTCCTGGCCTCAAGTGATCAACCCACCTTGGCCTCCCAAAGTGCTGGGATTACAGGCATGCTCCACCATGCCCAGCCCCATTTGTCTATTTTTACTTTTGTTGCTTTGTGTTTTTGGGGTCCCATCCAAAAATCATTGCCCAGATAATGTCACAGAGGTTTTCCCCTAACAGGGAAACAAAATGGATTTATGTTTGTAATCCATGTTGAGATGATTTTTATATGGTGTGAGATAAGGATCTAAATTTATTCTTCTTCATGTGGGTATCCAGTTGTTCCAACACTGTTTATTGAAGACTGTCTTTTTCCCATTGTGTGTTCTTGGCATCTTTGTCAAAATCAACTAATTATAAATGTGTGGGTTCATTTCTGGGCTGTATTCTGTTCCATTGGGCTGTATGTCTGTTTTTATGCTAGTGTCATACTGCTTTGATTACTACAGCTTTGTGTAGTAGGTTTTAAAGGCAGGCAGTATGATGCCTCAAGCTTTGTTCTTTTTGCTTAAGATTGCTTTGGCTATTTTGGGTCTTTGCTGGTTCCATATGAATTTTAGGATTGTGTTTTTCCTGTTTCTGTGAAGAATGTCATTGGTATTTTTGTAGAGATTTTGTTTAATCTGTAAGTCACTTTGAGTATTATGGACATTTTAACAATATTTTTCCAATCCTTCAACATGGAATCTTTCCTTTTATGTCTTCAGTTTTGTTTATCAGTGTTTTATAGTTTTTAGTATAGAGATATTTTACTTCCTTCATTAAATATATTCCTATTTTATTTTTTGTAAGCTAGATAGTTCACTGTTAGTGTATATAAATGCAATTTATTATAAGTTGATTTTTGTATCCTGAAATTTTACTGAATTTGTTTATTCTAACCATTTCTGGTAGAGCCTTTAGGGTTTTTTAATTGTTGTCTGTCGGTAGGGGCAATTTAATTTCTTCCTTTCTGGTTTGGATGCCTTTTGTTTCTTTTACTTGCCTAATTGTTCTGGCTAAGACTTCCAGTCCTATGTTGAATAGAAGTGGCAAAAGTGGACATCCACGTCTTACAGGAATGTAGGCTCTTAAAGGATAAGCCTTCAACTTTTCCCCATTGAGAATTATGTTAACTGTTTTTTGGTCATACATGGCCTTTTTTCATATTGCGGTACATTCCTTCTAAATCTAATTTTTTTGATAGTATTTAGGAAAGAATGTCAAATCTTGCAAATACCTTTTTTGCATCTATTGAGTTGATACTATGGTTTTTGTCCTTCATCTGTTAATATGATACGTTACATTTATTGATTTGTGTGTGTTGAATCATCCTGGTATCCCTGGGATGAATCCCACTTAATCATGATGGATGATCTTGTTAATGTGCTATAGAATTAGGTATACCAATATTAGGTTTTAGATTTTTGCATCTATGTTCATCAGGAATATTTGCTTGTAGTTTTTTCCTTCCTTCCTTCCTTCCTTCTTTCCTTCCTTCCTTCCTTCCTTCCTTCCTTCCTTCCTTCCTTCCTTCCTTCTTTCCTTCCTTCCTTCCTTCCTTCCTTTTGTAGTGTTGTTATCTGGTTTTGGAGAAGAATTGATAGTAGTTTTTCTTCAAATGTTTAATAGAATTCAGCAGTGGGTTTACCAGGTCTTGGGGTTTTCTTTGATGGGAAACATTAATTACTGAACAAGTCTCCTCACTTTTTTTGGTCTGTTCAGATTTTCTATGTTTTTTTTTTTTACTCTTTAATCTTGGTATATTGCATGTGTCTAGGAGTTTATTCATCTCTTCTAGATGATCCAAGTTGTTGGTATGTAATTATTCATAATAGTCTCTTATAATCCTTTGTATTTCTCTGCTATCAGTTGTAGAGTCTCCCCTTTCATTTCTGTTTTTATTTCATTCTTCTTTTTCCTTAGTCTGGCTAAAAGTTTGTTGTATATTTTTTTAAAAATACCAACTCTTAGTTTTATTAATTTTCTATTTTTCTAGTGTCTTTCATTTATTTCTGCTCTGACCTTTATTATTTATTTTCTTAATTTGGGCTTAGTATTTTATTTTTTGTGTGTCCTTTTGGTGCAACATTGTTTATTTGAGATCTTATTTTTTGATGTAGGTATGTATTGCTATAAAGCTCCCCCATAGAACTCCTTTTGCATCATCCCATAAGTTTTGATAAGTTGTGTTTTCATTTGTCTCAATAAATTTTTCAATTTTCCATTTAATTCCTTAATTGGCCCATTTGTTGTTCAGGGGTATGTTGTTTAATTTCCATGTGGTTTTGAATTTTCCAATGCTACTTCTGCTATTAATCTCTAATTTTATACCGTTGTGATTAGGAAGATATCTGATATTATTTTAAACTTTTTACATTTGTTAAGACTTATTTTGTGGCCTAACATATGATCTATACTGGATAATTATTCATGTGTAATTGAATAATGCATATTTTGCTGCTTTTGCATGGAATATTCTATATATGTCTGTTAAGTCCATTTGATCAAGAGTGTATTTTAAGGTTAAGATTTTCCCTTTTTTTTTTGTCTGGATGATCTGTCCACTGCTGAAAGTGTTGAGGTCTTCTATTACTGTATTGCAATCTATCTTTCCAGTCAGATTTATTAATATTTGCTTTGTGTATTTAGATGCTCTGATGTTGGGTGTATATCTATTTGCAAATGTCATATCCTTTTAATGAATCGACTCCTTTATCAACATGTATTATTGATTATAGTCAAAGACCTTCTTTGTCTTTCTTAGCAGTCTGTTTTGTCTGACATAAGTCTAGCTATTCCTGCTCTCTTTTGGTTTCTATTAGCATGGAATATTTGTCCATCCTTTCACTTTCAGTCTTTGTATATACTTACAGGTGAAGCAAGTCTCTTGTAGGCATATTTAGTTGTATCATGTTTTTAATCTATTCTGCCACAATATGTCATTCCATTAGATAATTTAATTCATTGATATTCAAGGTAATTATCGACAGTAAAAATATATGCCATTTTGTCAACTGTTTTCTAGTTGTTTTCTAGAGCCTTTGTTTCTTTCTTCCTTTTCTTGCTATCTTTCTTTGTGACCTAGTAATTTTTCTCTAGTGGTAGGTTCTGATTTCTTGCTTTTCATTTTTTGAGTATCTATTATAGGTTTTGCTTTGTGGTTACCATGATACGTACAAAAACATAGTTATAACAGGTTATTTTAAGCTGATAACAATTTAACTTTGATCACAATAAAAATGTACACTTTTACTGTACTCCTCCCCCAATATTCTGAATATTTTATTCACAATTTACATCTTTTATATTGCATATACCTTAATTCTTTTCCCATTTTCCTGAGATACTCACCGGCAGTGCTTGTGGCTGCAGAATTATCCAGAGATAACTTTGCCATGAAATATGTTGTTTTTATTATTATTTTCACATTGTTCTAGTATATCAACTTTGGAAACAAAATTCTGTTTTTAGCATTCTGTTTTTAGTAGTGGGATTTTCATCTAAAAAATAGAGTAATTCTCATTCGCTGAAAATGTCAAATGCTAGAAAAGACAGCATTTCTACACGGGATGTTAACATCGTTTTCGAACAGTTCTTGGCCAAAGATTCATTTTATGAATCTAATTTTTCCTAAATAGATAATTTGGATGACTCAGATGATTCAGATGATTCTGATATTAGTTATGTTTAGAAGTAACTTCAAGAACAGTTTTGATATTTTATTTTCACATTGGGAGTCAGATTTGCTTCTGCCTCAAAGAGTGTGTTTATCTAAAATTAGCTTGGCAGCGAGCTATACTCTTTTTCTAAATGCCAAAAGGGTTAAATTATTCTGGCTATTATTTTTAATAGTTGTCTTTTAACCTTCATACTATAGATATGTGATTTATACACCATCATTATAGTATTATTCTAAATTTAACTTTGTAGTTAATTTTACAAGTGAGTATTGTACTTTCAGATGTTTTAATGTTACTTATTAGCACTCTTTTCTTTCAGCTTGAACTCCCTTTAGAAATTCTTGTAACACAAGTCTGGTGGTGATAAACTACCTCAGCTTTTGTTTATATGGAAAAGTCATTATCTCTTCATTTCCAAAGGATAGTTTTGCTGGGTTCAGTATTTTGGGTTGACAGAATTTTTTTTTTCCCTTCAGCTTTTTGAATATATCACCTTACACTAAAAAAACCCCAGAAAAACAAAAAAAAACAAAAAAACTTTTGAGTTCAGGGGTACGAGTCAAGGTTTGTAACATAGGTTAAACTTGTGTCATGGGAGTTTTCTGTGCAGATTATTTCATCACCTAGGCATTAAGCCTAGTACCCATTAGTTATTTTTCCTGATCCTTTCTTTCCTCCCACCCTTCACCCTCTGAAACGCCCCAATGTGTGTTGTTCCGCTCTATGTGTACATGTGTTCTCATTTAGCTCCCACTTATAAGTGAGGACAATGGGGTCCTTGGTTTTCTGTTCCTGTGTTAGTTTGCTAAGGATAATGGTCTCCAGCTCCATCCATGTTCCTGCAAAGGACATGATCTCACTCTTTTTTATGGCTGCATAGTATTCCATGGTGTATATGTACCATATTTTCTTTATCCAGTCTTTCATGAATGAGCATTTAGGTTGATTCCATATCTTCGCTATTGTGAACAGTACTACAGTGAACATCTGCATGTATATCATCTCACTTTCTCCTGGCCTGTAAGATTTTTGCTGAGAAATCAGCTAGAATATTGGAATACCTTATACATTATTTACTTATTTTCTCCAGCTATTTTCAAGATCTTCTCTTTGATTTTTGACGGTTTGATTATAAGTCTTGGGTTACTTTGGATTGAATATGATTGAAGATCTTTAACCTTTCTTTACCTGGATATTTACATATTTCTCCAGGTTTAGGAAGTTTTCTGCTAACATTTTCTTAAGCTTTCTGCTTTTTTCTTTCTCTCTTTTCAAAGTCCTATAGAACTGTTCTTCCCACTCCATTCAATTCAATTTTTCTTACTTTGCTACAACCAGATTCTGTGATCTTTCACCTGATTTCCTTAGTTCTTGTGAAGGTATTTTTCTGCATGGATAGTTGTTCAAATTGATTTTTTTGTGTTTAGGGGGATGACCCCTAGAGAGTCCTTTTCCACCATCTTGTTTCACCACTCTCCTATATCTAGGTTTTGTATATATTTACTTATGTTACTTTATATTAGGTAGATGTTAAAACACCGAAATCTGAATTTTTATTAGAGTGGCCAATTAGATCTAAATTAATACTCAGTTTTACCCTTTCTTGCACATGGAATTCTGAAGTAGGAAAAAACAGCTACAATTAAAGTTGATCTAGTATTAACAATATTCTAATGGCATAAATTTAGAACTATATGAGGAAAACACAGTTTTTCCCTTGATTATTTCTTGGTAAAATCAAGTAATGTCAATCAATGTTTATCTAAATTCTGATCCTCTTGTAAGTACAAACCTTCAGTTTCACCCTAAGAGTCAAAATGTCAAAAATAGACAATCAGTCATAATGAGGCACAGCACATAGTGCTATTGTGAATTTTAGGGATGATTGGGACACAGTTTCTCCTTATAATAGATATATTACTTACATTAAAAAAAAAAGAGGGAAGGTTAAGATTGGCATCATGTCAGATGCAATGCCGAAACTGAAATATAAGAAGAACACACGTATCAGAGAGCGATTTGTGGTGATGGGGTGGGCAGATGTTTGAGAACCAAACAAACTGTAAGAAACAAAGCAAGCCAGAAAATTGACTCAAGTAACCAACATCAACATAAGTTACTCGCATAAGGCACTTATGCTGGTTCAAGGTAAATGCTTTTATCCCTCGTACTTAGAACTGCACTGTCCAAGATGGTAGCCACTAGCCTCATGTGACTATCTAAATTAAATGACACATTAGAAATCCACTTCCTCAACTGTAGTAACTACATTTTAAGTGGTCAATTACTGCATGCAGCTAGTAGCCTCTTATTGGTTAGTAGAGATATAGAGCATTTTAATCATTATAGAAAGTTCTATTACATATCACTGGCCTAGAAATATTAACTGATGCCATCATCAAACCTAATCTAGCATTTTCAGATTAAAGAAAAAAGCTCTGCTAGAGTAGTTCGTCTTCTTGTCAACAATCATAAAACTAAACAAAATATATGAAGCAACTGTATTCAGGCACTGCACAGCAGGCAGTAGAAGAGTGCAATCTTTGAGAGCTGGAAAACGGAAGGTAAGCTCCATTACCGGACCAGCTATCTTCCTGGAAATAATATTCTGACCACAGCACAGTGAGCCAGGGTCCAAGTAGAGCATGGCAGTCATGCTAAGCTGAGAAGTCAGCTGTTAAGAGTTCATGACAATAATAATAATAAAAAAAAGATTTAAAAGACATTAATCAATCACAAAGTATGAACCTAAATTAGAGCTTGTTTCAAACAACATAAAAAAATTATGTCATTTAATCAGCAATTAGAAATTTGTGGCGGCTAAATATTTGAATACTTATGATATGAAATATTTTTACTAAATGTTTACGTACAACAATAATATTGTGCTTTTGTTTGAAAAAAAATACTTATCTTCTAGAAACATATACTCAAATACTTAAGGATTTTGCTTACAAATGATAGTAGGAGAGGTATAGTGGTGGAATGTAGATGGCAATATGGATGGGATGTGGGAAGGGCAAAATTGTACATGGGTTAATGGTTATTGGGGATGCACATTGTGGATATATTTTAGTATTATAGTATTGTGAGTATGTCTGGATTCATTTTATTATCTTGTCTAATTTTGTTTTGTTTGAAACTCTTTGTCATAGAAACTTTAAAATTAAAAGTGAATAATAAAGTCAAAAAAAAAGAGTTCATGACAGCTTGAGTTATTAGAATATATGGAAAGAGACATATATAGTAGCGGCTTTAAACTCTTCAATTATTATACTAGATGAGTTATTTATGGGTCTTTTCTTGACTTTTCTTTTTACAAATGTATTCAAAGAATTAAGGAGACATATACTCTTCATAAATGAACAGAGGGAATATCAGCAGATTAAAAGCATAAAAAGAAAAATTCTAGAACTGACAAGCAGACTTGGAAGTTAAATTGAACTAGAATAACTAAAACAATTTTTCAAAGAAGAGCAAAGTTGATTTCAATACTTTATATAAGACTATGATAATTAATACAGTGTGTTATTGGTGTAAGGGTAGACTTTAGAATCAACAAAACAGTAGCTTTTCCAGAAATAGAGCCACATACACAAGGTCAATGTGTTCTTGAAGATATGCCCAAACATATTAATCAATAGATAATGCATATATTTTCAACAAATATTGTAAACCGGCGACCTATAGTAAGAGAAGAAAAATCTCAACACTTCTTCAAACTGAACAAACATTAATCTGAAATGGATTATAGACTTAAATACAAAAAATAAGACTGTAAGAATTCTTGAAAAAATAAAGGAAAATTGCTGTGCATGAAAAAATACCATAAAAGAAAAAAAACACTATAAATTGTACTTGATCAGGTTAAAGCCTTCTTTTCAAAAGGCACCAAAAGGCACCATTAAGAAAATGAAAAGGCAAGCTACAAAGTAGGAGAAAATATTCACAATAGTCATATTTTTAGGAAAGGACTACTTTCTAGAACATATAAAAACTTCTGTAATACAATAATTAGAACATCAGCCCAAATTTTTTAAAGTGCCTGAAATTTTAAAATGGTTCTCCAAGAAAGATATATAAATGGTTGTTCAGCACAGGAAAAGATGTTCAATATAATTAGTCATCGGCAAAATACAAATTAAGACCACAATGAGAGACCTATGCAGACCCACTAAAATGTTTTTTTTTTTTTTTAATTTACAGTATCAAATAGTGTTAGGGCCGTGGAACAACCACAACTTTCATATTGCTGGTGGGAGTGAAAAAGGTACAGATACTCTGGAAAACAGCTGGGCAGTTTCTAATAGTTACACATAAACATATCCCATGACCCAGCAGTTTCGCTCTTGATAGTTATCTAAGTGAAATAAAAGCATCCCCCCACCACGCCCCACAAAACTACTTGTACACAAATAGCAATTTTATTTATAATAGCTGAAGAGTGGAATCAACTCAAATATCCATCAACACGTGAATGGATTTGTTGGTTTATGTCCTATTGGAAGTGGATGCCAAAACAGAGTATTGCAAGAGTGTATTAGGGGAAACACCTGTAAAAGATGAAAAGGCAAGAGAGCTGGAATAAGATAGAAAATCTTTAAGAACATGATGTGGGCCTCACATCTGTGAAAAGCTGAACCCTAGAATACAAGCTGTGTTCAGTCATCACCCGGTGCCACCCAGAAAAAGGATGACTCATCTCAAATACTGAACAGCTTGTAAAGAATTGCAACTTGAGGCTGTCAGTTCCCTACACTCCTCACATTTGCTTGTTTCCTGAAGGTAGACTTGAGGAGCACACCTCCATGGCTGCCACAATGGATCAACAAACTGATCTATTCATAACATAGATGATTACTATTCAGCTATAAAATTTACTTATTGCAATATCATGAATATACACTGGAAAACGTAGAAACACAAAAGAATGATATTCCTGCTAGTTATAAAATCTTCAAATAACTACATATAAGTGTTACATATACATGTTAGTGAATTTCTCTCGTGTATGTTATACATAATATAACAAAATGTAATTATTATACATAATACGTATGCATTATTTTGCTTGTCCATTTTCATATTACATTAGAACCATTTTTCCACATTCATAAAATTTAAAGTCTACGTTATTTATGCAACAATATGTACCTAATATGTTTCAAAATTCAGGAAGATACTATCTACTATAAAAGTGTTTAGAAATAAGCAAGGCAATATTATGGGGTATTTAGGATCCCCCCACATTTTTTGATTTTATAGATGAAGTTGTAATGAACTTTATGCTTAAGTCTTCCTATTTCTGATAGTTTCCATAGGATGGGTCTAGCAGTATAATTCCAGACATAAACACTTTTAGGCCTTTTGATGTATGTATTTTTAAATTGCTTTTTAGGAGTATTGTACCAGAATAGCTAAGTCTGCATTATCATATATTCCCCAACTTAGAGGAATCACAATATTTTAAACATCTTTGCTAATTTGTTAAGCTTAAGAGTATTAGGTATAGAAATCTTAATTCTTTGAATTTCTTTTATTTTTAGTAAAATGGAATGTTTCAAATGTTCATTGGCTATATTTCCTTTTGTATGGATTATTTGCTTCAACTTTTTGCCTATTAGACTATTTTGCTCTCTTGGGGTCTTACAGTCTTACTGCTTTTCTGATTAATTTTGTTTTTTATATATTTTATTGCCATGTTTTATCATATGCTGCATTGTAGGACATTGTTTAAAGCTATAATTCATGTAATTCAATACCCTTTGGGCATGAAAACAAACATCCATTTATTTTTTGACTTATTAGTTAGTCATTACTTAGGATTGCTGTTTTTATGATTTACCCACAATTTTATCTGAATGCCTTTACTTGCCATTATTTCACATCTTTTAGGGATTTTTATTATACAGATATCTAAATTTATGGATACCACTTGAATCTCAGTGCCACCTCAAATTTTATTTACTTAAAAATATACTAAATTACTCTTTCAACATTTTTCTCTCTCTAAAGACATGCTTTCCCTATTATCCTATATTCAATCAATTTATGTAATGTTTCCCAAAACTGTTCTGTTCTCTCTTGTCCTTCTACATTAATTCAGGCCCCCATTACTTCTAATCAGAATCCTATCATAATATTCCTACTTCCAATCTATTCTTTTTCATGCTGTTCTATTTCTTTCTTTCTGGATTTATCTTCCTAATGCACCCCTTAAATTATTACAGAAGGAGGTCCAAAGTCTCTTTCACTAAGTATTCTTTGAGACTAGGTAGTGCAGCTTCGGAAGCCAGATGACAATATATGTTATATAAGCAGGAAATAGCCATTGTTTCCATTTCTCCAAGGCATTTGGCATTCTGAATGCTGTAGGGAATGTCTTATGATTTGGTCAATTCAAAGATTTTTGAAGCCTTTGGAAGAACTAGCAGACAACACTCCAGTCAATAAGGTAATTGAGTACCTCACTGAGAGTACTGGTGGCAGTGAGACGCTGTACTCAAGTGGCTTGTTAAGTAGTAGACATTTAGTATCCCTCCTTTGCCATTACCTGCCAGGCCCCTCCTTCAGTGGAATTGTCTTCCATTTATTGTCAGACTATGATCTAAAGTCACAGAAGCCTGAAATTATTGGTCTTGTTATGGTAATTAAAATAAAGCATTGAAGATGGTCTGAGTGTTTAGAAATGAACACACAAATAAAAATATTAAGGAAAAACCAGCTTCATCTAAGAAGCAGAATAAATGCAAATATGCATAGATTTGTTTAACATATAAAATTATTGGTGAGGCACAATAGAAATGGAATATCTAATCTCTATAATGTAATGAAATAAAAATTGAAAGAGCCAGAGGTATAGGTCAAATATGACCTTAGGATGGAGAATACTGTAGAACCATATTAAGTGAGATTTCGATAAGGGATTGGGGGAGAGTAGAGGAGAAACTTAGGAAAAGGGAACTTATGATCTAAATTTAATTTGCAAATCCAAATCTGTATGTCTTGAAGTTTTGGAGTACTAACCTGTCATTTCTCAAGTGGACTCTAGTTAGGCAGCTATAGACATAAATCACAAAGCTGCTGTATCTACACTGCCTCATCTAGTTTATTACTCAGCATTGTTACATGAAAAACAGTGGATATGAAAATGAGGAATGCCCATTTTCTTGGTATACTGGGTCAGAATTTAATTTGAGTACTTGAGAACAATGCTGCTTAGAGTATGGTATGTGGATTGATGAATACAACCAACCCTGTTACAGATCTGCAAAAAGATAAATACTATACTTGAGAGTAAGCATTTGCATATTTTTATAGTAATTAGACATTATTGTGACAGCCAAGAGAATGGCTGGTGGATGTCTCCTTCTGAACAGGATCTATACCAGTTCAGTTGTTGAATTCATGGTATGGTTTTCATATGGTACAAACTGCATACTACTATGTCTTGTAAGACAATGTTCTGAGATGTGATGTTTTAAGGTTAGTCTGTCATCTCGCATTCAAAAGGTACACGAATATGAAAAAAAGTAAACATTTTGATAACTTAATATTTCATTACCATTTTGATTTTTGAATAATCAGATATTTTTCCACATTTATTGTTTGCAACTAGTAACTAAGGAAGGAAGTTTTGAATTATTTATTTTGAACAATTTGTACATGGCAAAGCAAACTTCACTGGAATCTCTGTCAAGCAAAGATATCCCTTTCTGCATGTAGCAATAGTAATAAGGCAAGGAGTAAAAATGGAAGTGATTCTGAAGACATAGACAAAAAGATTTCATACATTTAATTCCATTTTGTAAATACATTTGAAATGAGAAAACTACAATGTATTATTTGCGAGATTGACTGGCTAATAAAGCAATGAAATCACCAAAACCTAGGTGGAATTTTTATACAAAGCATTATAAAATAAATTCAAACAAAATAACTTGAAAGAGTAGGTAGTGAATTATAAAGTCAACAGATGTTTAGTGTTTTATATGTGAATATTAATAATCTAAAAGGCATTATTTCAATGAATAGTTTTTATGATTCTTTTTGTTTTTAATGTATGATCTGATTTTTTATAATGATTCTGTTTATTGAATCTAATAAAATAGATATTATATATTTTATACTGATTTCTATTGTATATTATTGGTATTAGTCTATGATTGTCATGAATAACAAATAATATCCTTTGATAATTTAAGAAGCTCTTCTCCAAGCAGCCTGTGTTTTAGCTTGGTGTTTCTCAGACTTTAATATGCCTAAGAATCATCTGGTGAATCTCGTTAAAATCACATTCTGACTCAGTGGATTTATAAAGCCTGAGTTTCTGCATTTCTAAAGCGTTGCCAGATGATGCTAACACTGCTGATCCACATAACACATTTTAAGTATCAAGCCATTATATTTCTATTATTTACTATCTCCCTTTGCTAATATGGAAGAATTTCAGTGTCTCCAGAAAAGAGGAGAACAGGAAACCAACAGATGATGAAAGTTTTGAATGTGGATATCTTTAATCTAATTTCACATAGAAATATTATCAGGAGATTTCCGGAATAGGGTCAAGATTCTGCATAAGCCCAAAAGGAAATGCTCTTATGTTCTTCCTTTAGGTAATCAGGAGTATGTTCTGTCCAGCTATGTTAACACTTTGACCTGTGAATCAGACTAAAGGGCTGGCTCCTCTTGACTTAGTGAAGGAGTCTCAGTATTCCTGGTGACTGCTGGCTAGCTGCTTCCGTCTGTAAATATCTTCCTCTAGAGTGAAACTGTGCATAAAACAACAAGAGGCAGATCCAAAGCCTGAATGACAGCTTTCCCTGATGGTCACTGATTATAATATGTGATATCGACACACACAGAATAAATGGTACAGGGAGCTTACAGATTCCAGTAACAGCAATGTGGCATGGTCAGACTAAACCTCTAGCACATACAACAAAAACTAAGATACCAGATATAAAATCTAGGATATATATGTAAAATCACCAAACTATATGAATGTGCTAGCTAGTGGTTAAAATCTGGCAGAAACTGTAGGGGATTCTTCATTTGAAAAACAGGAAAGACAAGACCTTAGTTATATGTGTAAATTTAAAGCATTTTTGTCTGGTGCATTCCCTAAAGTCCCCATGGCTCAGGGCATCAGAAAACTGAAAATAATGTATCTTTTATTTGGTATATAATCATTTAGGATTCTTATGTCTTCTTGATGGATTGACATGCCTACTGACTTTTTGTCAGTAGAAGATAGATTTGAGACTGGCAAAGCAGATAAAAATTAAGGGGCAGAGAATCTTGGAAGAGATCATATAGGTAGGAGCTCCAAAATCCGCATGTAAAAGTCACCAAAATTCTTGGCTAATTGTTAAACTATGCGATTGCAGGAAGAAATAGCAAGGTCTGCTGCAAACTCAGAAACTTGAAGCTGAAGAGGTTGAGCAGAGATTCTATTTGCTTTATTGGAATCACTGTCATAGATATAAACAGGGAAGCCTGAATTTGAAGTTTGAATCCAGCCAAGTTAATTGCTTAGTAAAATGAGAATTATTCTTCAGAGGAAGGCAAAATTCAGAGTCTCCACCATGTATCCTCCATCAATGTACCCACCATGATTTTCAGTGTCCAAAAAGGGAGTTAAACATCCCAATCTTACACTTACGGGATTTTCAGAGACTATGGGACAAAACCTTGTCACTCATGCAACACTTTGCATATAATTTTATAGATAGGTTAAAAGCATTGAGAAAAACCCATATTAAATACTAATCAAAAGAAAACTTCAGTTTTTATTAATATCAGACTAGTCTTCAGAGCAAAGATAATTATTAGGAAAAAACATGTCAATCCATCAAGAAGACATAACAATCCTAAATGATTATATACCAAATAAAAGATCTTCATAATACATGAAGTACAGATGTGTAAAAAAAAATGGATGGAACTAACAGTAGAAGTCACAAATGCATGATTATAAGTGAAGACTTGAATTACCTCTCAGTAATCTATGGAACTAATACAAAATTAGCAAGGATGTATAATAACTAATAACACCATCTACCAATTGGATTAAATAGATATTTAGAAAATACCCCACACAACTTCAGCAGAATGCATACTCTTTAAAACTGCATGCAAAGCATTCATCAAGGTATATCTTGAGTCATAAAACTAACCTAAAAATGTAAAAGCATAGAAATTATGCAAGTATGTTTTTCTGTGATAGAATTAAATAGGCATTAGCACCAAAAAGATAACCAGAAAATCTCTTTACTTTTAATTTAAACAAAGTTTTTCCACATAGTCTATGGGCAAAAGAAGACCTGTCAGTGAATTGTGATTTGTATTGAATTCAATAAAAATGAAAATTCAACATAAAAATCTATAAAGTGCTGCTAAATCAGTGCTGAGAGGAAAACTCATAGCACTAAATGTTATATTAGGAAGGTAAGTTTCAAATCAAAAATTTGATGCAGGGTTTGGTATATGTTTTCTACAAAGGGCCACATAGCAATTTTTTTGTGTGCTTTTTTAGCCATATAAAGTCTTATTCCATACTCTTTGTATTTTGTTTAACAATTTTTAAAATAAAAAGAAATTAGCCTACAAGCCATATGAAAATATTTAAGCTTTCCCCTCAAGACTCAAGGTAAAATGCAAAGTAAATTCAAAGCAAGCAGCAGGAAGGGAATAAATGTAAGACCAGAGATCATGAAGTGAAAAACAGAAAAACATTAGAATCAGTCAAACCAAAGCTGGTTCTTTCAAAAAATTAATAAAATTAATAAACTTCTTAGAAAACTGACAAGAAAAGGAGACCAGATACAAATTTCTACTATCAGAAAAGAAATAAGAGGTATAACTACACTTTCCATAGAGAGTTGATGGATAAATACTAAGAAATATTCTACACACATAAATCTGAAACTTCAATAAATTAGACCAATTCCTTGGCTGGGCATGGTGGCTCATGCTTGTAATCCCAGCTTTTTGGGAGGCTGAGGTGGGTGGATCACCTGAGGTCGGGAGTTCAAGGCTAGTCTAGCCAACATGGTGAAAACCCGTCTCTAGTAAAAATACAACAATTAGCTGGGTGTGGTGGCGTGCACCTGTAGTCCCAGCTACTCAGGAGGCTGAGGCAGGAGAATCACCTGAACCTGGGAGGCAGAGATTGCAGTGAACTGAAATCATGCCACTGCACTCCAGCCTCGGCCACAGAGCGAGACTCTGTCTCAAAAAAAAAAAAAAAAAAAAGAAAGAAAAAAAAAGTTAGACCAATTCCTTGATAACTGCAAACTTCCAAAACTAAGTAGATGATCTGTGTAATCCTATAGCTATTTAAATTAGGGCAAAAGAAGTCAGAAGTCAATTAGAAGTCAAAATCCTTTCACAAAAGAAACCACCAGGCCTAGATGGTTTCACTGGTACATTTTACCAACATTTAAACAATTTCAACTCTACACAGACTTTTGCAGAACACAGAAGAGCATTCTGCCAACCAATTTTATGAAGCCAACATTACTCTAATACCAAAAACAGAGAAAGTAAAATAAAATGAAAACAACAATCCAGTATTTCTCATACACATAGTTACAAAAATCCTCCACAAAATTTTAGCAAATATAATCTAGTAATAAAATCTAAAAAAACAAATTTTGATATTTATTCCAGGAATGCAAAACTGGCTCAATATTCAAATTTCAATTAATGTACATCTTAATAGTCTAAAGAAGGATAGACTTACTACTAGATGTAGAGAAATATTTAAATATTTATGGTAAAAACTCAACAAACTGAGAAGGGAAATTCCTCAAACTGATAAAAAGCATAATAAAAATCCTACATCTAACATAATATTTGATGGTGGCAGACTACTTTACCCATAAAATCAGGTACAAGGCAAGAATGACCACTCTTTCCACTTCTATTCAACATGGTACTGGAAGCCTTAGCCAGCACAATAAAGCAAGAAATGGAAACAAAAGGCATATGGAATGTAAAGGAAGAAATAAACAATGCTCTGATTTGTAGATTATATGATAGCCTATGTTAGACTGTGATAGTCTGTAAAGAATCTCCTAGAACTTACAAGTGATTTAGCAAGGTCAAACGATGCAAGGTCAACATACAAAACAATCATATTTCTATACATTAGTTGTGAACAATTACAAATTAAAGTTAAAAACAATACCATCTACGATAGTCTCTGATATATAATATGTAGAGATACATAAAACAAGTACAAAATACATAAAGTACAAGATGTACATGCTGAAAACTCAAAGTAGACTGAAATAAATGGTGACTAACACTGAGTTTATAGATTGGATGACTCAGCATTTAAATCTGTTAATTCTCTCCAAATTAACTATATATTTAATGCAATTCTAATTGAAATCCCAATAGGATTTTTTTGTAGCTATAAATAAGCTGATTCTAATGTTTAAATGGAAGGGCAAAGAAACTAAAATAGCTAAATCAATATTGAAAAAGAAGAGAGTTGTAGGAATGACGGTGTTTTCTTTTTAAGACTTACCATAAACCTATAACACTCAAGTCATGATGATATAAAAATGCAGACACATAAATCTTGGAACAATGGAGAGTCCAAAAATAGACCCTTACAAATATGATCAATTTTTAACAAAGTTACAGAAGAAAGTCAGTGGAGAAAGAATGTGTTTTTTTCAGCACACAGTGTTGGAACAATTAGATACCCATGTGCAAGAAAATCAACCTGAATATAAATCTCATACCTTATATAAAAATTGACTGATAATGGATCTTAGCTCTAAGTGTATAATTTTCTTTTTTTGAGACGGAGTCTCGCTCTGTTGCCCAGGCTGGAGTGCAGTGGTGTGATCTCAACTCACTGCAAGCTCCACCTCCCAGGCTCACGCCATTCTCCTGCCTCAGCCTCCCGAGTAGCTGGGACTACAGGCGCCCGCCACCACTCCCGGCTAATTTTTTGTATTTTTAGTGGAGACAGGGTTTCACCGTGTTAGCCAGGATGGTCTCGATCTCCTGACCTTGTGATCCACCCTCCTCAGCCTCCCAAAGTGCTGGGATTACAGGCGTGAGCCACCGCGCCTGGCTGTATAATTTTCTTAGAAGAAACCATAAGAGAATATCTTTGTGACCTAGGGTACATCCAAAAGTTTGCAAATGTGACATTAGAAGCACAATAAAAAATGATAAATGGAACTTGTCAAAATGTAAAATTTCTGATCATCAAAATTCATCATTAAGAAAATATATAGGCAGGCCACAGACTGGGAGAGTATATTTATGCAACATATATCTAAATGTACTGGTATGCAAGTTATGTAAAGAACTCTTACAATTCAATATCAAAAACAAAAAACTGGCAACATTTTAGAAAAGCACTTCAGTAAAAGTATGTACATGAACAGAAGTTCAACATTAGTTCACATCGGAGAAAATTAAAATCACAATGAGATACTACTGCATACTTACTAGAATAATTGAAAGAAAAACAAATTCTATAGGAACACTTATGGTACTTTATCATAGAGCCAAATACTGGAAAGAGTCCAAGTGTATATCAGTAGGCGATAGATAAACCGATATGTTCATTCAATGAGCTACTACTTAGCAATAAAAGAAAGAAACTATTGACTTGTACAACTATATGGATGAATCTCAAAAATAGTATGTTGAGTAGAGAGGCATTACACAAAAGAGCATACAGAAGCCTCTCCTTATTCATGGCTTTGCTTTCTGTAGTTTGTTACCTGTGGTCAACCACAATCTAAAAATAATAAAAAGTTACAGAAATAAACACTTTTCATAGTGTTCTGTTCTGAGTAGCATGTTGCAATGTCCTGCCACTCCACTTTCTCCCACATGGGACATGAATCCGTCCCTTTGTCCAGTATACCCACGTTGTACATGCCCTCCATCTGTTAATCACTTAGTGCCTGTCTAGGTTGTCAGATGGAAAAACATAGCATATATGTGGTTTGGTGCTATTTGTGGTTTGAAGCAGTCACTGGAGGTCTTGGAATGTATCTCCCATGGATAATAGGGGACTATTATATCCTGTGTGATTCGATTTATGTAAATTTCTAGGACAGGCAAAACTAATAATTGTTGAAAACTAGGATAGAACTTGTCTCTGAGAAGTAGGATTGACTGAGAAGGGGCATGAAACTTTCTAGGCCATTCTTTATCTTAAGAGGGATAAAAGTCAGATAAATTCTCTTTCCAAAACTTATAGAATGGTACATTTTAAAAACATTCATCTCATTGTATGTAAAATGTATCTGAAAAGAAAAAACGAAGATGGGACTTCATGTATGCACATCAAAGTATTATGGAGTAACTATACCAATCCTTGTACTTTGAAACCTCAAAAGTTAGGTGGATTTATGTATTGATAGCAGGATACATACAGATATGTAATAAATAAACTATAATAGATAATGTTCATTTTAGAATCTAGATGTTGGGTATATGGTTTTCACTGTAATATTAAACTTTATATCTGAACACTTTAGTAATTGAAGAAATAGTATTGATCAAGCTTTATTAGATAGACAGTGTAACTGCATTATAAAAGAAGAGCTAAGTTTTGAGGGAATTGTTAGAACATCTATTAGGGAATAAATTTCTCTGATATTGGGAAATATTAAGGTGGTTGACAATACTGCCCCACTGGATGACTCAAAAGGATACTTGTGCAACCAGGCAGCCAAGATAGGTGAGCCAGTGTAAAAAGATGCTATAAAGCATTTAACCTCATCTGCATGTTTTTATACCACTAGGTAAAACCTTTTATTTCTGGCCGGGCGCAGTGGCTAACACCTGCAATCCCAGCACTTTGGGAGGCAGAGGTGGGCAGATCACGAGGTCAGGAGATTGAGACCATCCTGGCTAACATGATGAAACCCTGTCTCTAATAAAAATACAAAAAATTAGCCGGGCGTGGTGGCGGGCGCCTGTAGTCCCAGCTATTCGGGAGGCTGAGGCAGGAGAATGGCATGAACCCGAGAGGTGGAGCTTGCAGGCGACAGAGCGAGACTCTGTCTAAAAAAAAAAAAAACACCTTTTATTTCCATAAGCATAATATCATTGGTTCAGAAAAATACTTTTCTATAAGTTTGACCAAAAATTAACTTCTGCTTGACCAGCTTTTAAAATTCACTGTTTTGAAGAAGTTTACAAAAGGGAGTAAATTCAGTAGTCTAGAAAATTTTATTTATATACAGAACTTTTATTTATAATTATTCTCAGTGCATATATATCACACAATAAACAGTAACTTAGTAGAGTAATACCTTTTGAGTTTCTACATTATACTGAATACTTGAATTTATGATCAAATAAAAATAGTTTTTATCTAATGCATCATTGGATCAGTAATTTGGGAAAGGTACATTTGTAATTTTCCAGGAAAATGGAATCTTTCAATTGATAATGACATTATCTCCTTGTGCTTGTGGACAAGATTTCTATTCATTGCTTTATTTCTTTGATGTAAGGACATGCACTTCCCGACTCCAAAAGATACATCAAGCAACTTTTTTAAAGCTTCTTTCATAAGTAATACATTAACAAGCTTTCAGAAGTTCATAGTCATCTCCTCAACTGAAGAGTGAGAAAAGAGGAAAGATAAATTGTTTTGTAGGAGGCAGAATTTCTTGTTTTATACTAACTCACTTTATGAATACAACCTTCTGAGCATCTCTTTGGGTATACAAAATAATGGCATATGCTGTATATATTAGTATAGATTGCAAAGCAAAAATTTGGTTTAAGTGATGTTTCTGTATTCAGGGAAACCTAAATCTGTTGCTGACAGTGATAAAAGTTTTCTAGAGATGTCAATCAATATTTATGTGTGTTTGCTGTAAGGCAGGGTATGTGTTGTAGAAACCTGATACACAAATAATTTATACGGAAGAGCAACAAAGCACATTTAGAGAGCTATACATAAATACACGTAAATCTAAATCTAAATCTACCCAGAAAAATACATTGGAAATTATATTTAAAAATTTTTTATTTTGTGTGTGTGTGTGTTTCTTTCCCTCATGTATGATGTTAAATGGGTCCATGGAGAAGTCCAGTTGTAAGAAATAAAAGGCATGATCTTATCACACCTAACCTCTCTAGAATTATTTACACCAGAAGGGTACTGTCTTATGGAAGAGAGGACATGGAGCACAATGGGAAGGAAGGGATAACATATGAGGCAAGGTAAACAAAGATTAGCAGCTGGCAATGGAGGGCTGCTTCTCCATTGGGTATATAAACTACAGTTCCAAAAGACATTGCAGTCAAGGATGGGGAGTCTGAATATTGTGACATAGGTTACTCAATGGAGAAATCGCATGAAAGAGTGACCAGTGTAATTGTTCTATAACTCATCCCCCTGAAAGTCATAGATTCTTAGGTTCTCAGCACAATACAGAGGAGTCAGAGACCACTAATCTTAGCCCAAGTACAACCCAGAAAACTTGAAAACAGGTTATAAGCTCCATATTACTTTATCTCTTTTAGCCTACTCTCTATCCTCTGGCACCTCCATGGTGGATTCAACCAGAGATCCAACTTTAAAGTGGGAGAATAAAAGAAGATAATGAGTATCTTAGAGTTCTATTTTTTAAAAATTGATAAATTAAGGCATAGGATATAGGAATACATGGTGGAGACACAATTGTGAGTAAAAAGAAGCCCAATCTATACTTTCATGAAGCTTACGGGGAGACTGAGGAAGATGAATATTTTAAAAACCTCACTAATAATTACAAACTGGGATTGTCCGAAAAAAAGAACATGATTCTGTGAGGACATATTACACGAAAGCTGATCTCGATTGTGGTATTAAGTGACTAGAGGCGAAATCTGAAGGATAGGTAGGAATTAATGAGAAAAGGGCTGGTGAGCAGGAAGTTTGAGGCAAACATATTAAGCCTCTGTAGCAGGAGAAACTGAAAAACGACCAGATGGGCTGGAGAAAAGAGATTTTTTAAAAAGCCAAAAACGAAAAAAATTCTGGTACAAGTCTGGAGAGGCAGCCAGTGGGCCATACCAACAAACCATTTTGTCCTTGCTAAGAATTTGGGTATTTGTCCTGGGATCAATGGGCGGGTAAGGAATGTTTTGGTTTCTGTCTTGAAAAGATTATACCTACCGTAATTCCAGAAATGAATTGTGATGGACAGTGTCAGACTGAAAAAGACCAGTTGATAGGCTCTTAAAATAATTCCAGCAAGCGATGATGATGGCCAGGACTAGGGGTCAGTGGAAGGAGCCAAGTGGAATGGATTTGGAAACATTCTTAAACTGGTCCTTAAAGTTATGGAGGCCATCTGTAACCTTTGAAAGAACTGCTTTGGTGGATCGATTGGAGGGTGGGGTGTACATTGAGGAATGAGTAGAAAATAAGAAAATGGGCCAGAAAAGAGTCTGTGAAGGGGAGAAGATAAAAGGGGCAATAAGAGGAGGGTTCGAAGGAAGGTTCATCTGTGAGACTTGAACGTGTTCTAGGAAGAATCAATATCACAAAGAAAGGACAGTAGGATGCAGTTCCTGAAAAACCAGGAAGAGTCCGAACAAAAGCATCAGTGGAAGAACTACATTTACTTTTTTCTATTTATTTATTTTTAATAGAAATAAAATACATATTTATCACGTACAAAATGATGTTTTGAAATACGTATACATTGTAGAATGGCTAAGTTAAGCTAATTATTACTAGGTATTGCATTAAATCTATAGATCACTTTTGTAGTATGGATATTTAAATAGTATTCTTTCAGTCCATAAACATGGGAAATCTTTGTGTCTTCAATTTCTTTCATCAGTATTTTACAGTTTTCAGTATATAGGCCTTTTACCTTCTTGTTTAAATTTATCCCTAAGTATTTTATTATTTTTGTGGCTATTAAAAATGAGATTGTATTCTCAATTTCTTTTTCAGATTGTCAGTGTATGGAGATGCTACTTACATTTTTGTATACTGATTTTGTATCCTGCAACTTTACTGAATTTATTCTAACAGTTTTTGGGTGGAGTCTCTCGAGTTTTTTTTTTAATATAAGATCATGTTATCTGAAAAACACAATTTCTTTCTAATTCCAATACCTTTTATTTTTTTTCTTGCCTAATAGCTCTGCCTAGGACTTACAGTACTATGCTGAATAGAAGTGGTAAGAGAAGCCATCTTTATGTCGTTCCTCATTTTAAATAAAAAAGCTGTCAAGTTTTTCCTGTTGAATAATGTTTGCTGTGAGTTTGTCATATAAAGCCTTTATTGTGTTGAGGCACATTCCTCATATACTGGGAAAAACTAGATTTAGATGTTATGACTTCTCTGATGAAATAGGAAAGAGGAAAAAGATGAGTACAGATATAGGTAAGTTTGCTGGGTTTTTAATGGTTTCTTTTTAAAATATTTTTAATTTTTGTGGGTACATAGTAAATGTATATAATTTACAAGTTAAGTGACATGTTCTAATAAAGGAATGCGATATGAAATAAGCACATCATGGAAAATGGGGTATTCATCTTCTCAAGCATTTATCCTTTGAGTTATAATCCGATTACACTCTTAGTTATTTTTAAATGTATAATTAAGTTATTATTGATAATAGTCAACCTATTGTGCTATCAAATAGTAGGTCTTATTCATTCTACTTTTTGGTATCCATTAACCATCCCCACCTCCCTCCAAGCCCCCCAACCCACCCTTACTAGCCCCCAGTAACCATCCTTCTACTCTCGTGTTCATGAATTCAATTGTTTTGATTATTAGATCCCAGAAGTAAGTAAGAATATGTGGTTTGTCTTTCTGTGCCTGGCTTATTTCACTTAACATAATGATCTCCAGTTCCATCCATATTGTTGCAAATGACTGGATTCCATTCTTTTTTATGGCTGAATAGTGTGTATGTACACTCACCGTGTATGTGTACCACATTTTTTTATCCATTCATTTGCTGATGGACCCTTAGGTTGCTTTCAAATCTTAGCTGTGACAGTGCTGCAACAAACATAGGAGTGCAGATATCTCTGATATACTGATTTCCTTTCTTTTGTGTATACACCCATCAGGGGATTGGTAGATTATATGGTAGCTCAATTTTTAGTTTTTAAGGAACCTCTAAACTATCCTCCATATTGGTTGTACTAATATACATTCCCACTAACAGCATACAAGGGTTCCCTTTTCTCTGCATCCTCACCAGCACTTGTTATTGCCTGTCTTTGGATATAAGCCATTTTAACTGAGGTGAGATGATATTTCATTGTATTTTTGATTTGCATTTCTCTGATCAATGATGTTAAGCACCTTTTCATGTGCCTGTTTGCCATTTGTATGTCGTTGTGAGAAATATCTTTTGAAACCTTTTGCCCCTTTTTTGATCAGATTATTAGATTTTTTTTCCCACAGAGTTGTTTGAGCTCCTTATATATTCTGGTTTAATCCCCATGGGTAGTTTGCAAATATTTTCTCCCATTGTGTGAGTTGTCTCTTTACTCTGTTGATTGTATCCTTTGCTTTGTAGAAGCTTTTTAACTTGATGTGATCCCATTTGCCCATTTTTGTTTGTTTGTTTTGGTTGCCTGTGCTTGTGGGGTATTGCTCAATAAATTTTTGCCCGGATTAATGTCCTGGAGATTTTCCTCAGTGTTTTCTTGTAGTGTTTTCATAGTTTGAGGTCTTAGATTTGTTATTTTGATTTGATTTTCACATATTGCAAGAGATGGTGGTATAATTTCATTTTTCTGCATGTGGATATCAAATTTTCCCAACATCACTTGTTGAAGAGACTGTCTTTTGCCCAGTGTATGTTCTTGGTAACTTTGTCAAAAAATGAGTTCACTCTAGGTGAGTGGATTAGTTTCTGGGTTCTCCATTATGTTCTATTTATCTATACATCTGTTTTTATGCCAATATCACACTGTTTTGGCTACTACAGCTCTGTAGTATAATTTGAAATCAGGTAATGTGATTCTTCCAGTTTTGTTCTTTTTGCTTAGGATAGGTTTGGCCATTCTGGGTCTTATGTGGTTCCATATAAATTTTAGGATTGTTCTGTTTCTGTGAAGAATATCACTGGTGTTTTCATAGAGATTGCATTGAATCTGTAGATTGCTTTGTGTAGTATGGGCAATTTAAAAATATTATGTCTTCCAATCCATGAACATGGAATATATTTCCATTTCTTTGTGTCCTTGTTAATTTCTTTCATCAATGTTTTATAGTTTTTATTATAGAGATCTTTTACTTCTTTGGTTAATTCCCAGGTAATTAATTTTATGTGTGGCTATTGTAAATGGGATTACTTTTTTTTCTTTTTCACACTGTTCACTGTCGGCGTATAGAAATGCTACTGATTTTGAATGCTGATTTTGTATCCTGCAACTTTACTGAATTTGCTTATCAGTTCTAATAGTTTTCTTGTGCAGTCTTTAGGTTTTTCCAAATATAAGATCATAGTATCTACAAACAAGGATAATTTGACTTCTTCCTTTCCAATTTGGATGCCCTTTATATCTTCCTCTTATCTGATTGCTGTAGCTAGGACTTCCAATACAGTATTGAATAACAGTGGTGACAGTGGACATCCTTGTCATGTTCCAGATCTTAGAGGAAAGGTTTTGAGTTTTTCCTCATTCACTATGATACTAGCTCTGGGTCTGTCATATATGGCTTTTATTATGCTGAGTTATGTTCCTTCTATCCCTAGTTTTTTGGGGGTTTTTATCATAAAGGGATGTTGAATTTTATCAAATGCTTTTTCAGCAAAAATTGAAATAATCATATGGTTTTTATCTTCCATTCTGTTAATATGATGTGTCACATTGATAGATTTGCATATGTTGAGCCATCCTCACATCTCAGGGATAAATCACACTCGGTTATAATGAGTGATCTTTCTAATCTATTGTTGAATTCAGTTTGCCAGTATTTTGTTGAGGATTGTTGCATCAATATTCATCTGATATATTGGCCTGTAGTTCTTTTCGATTTGTCTTTGTCCGATTTTGGTATCAGGGTAATACTGGCCTCATAGAATAAGTTTAGAAGTATTCTTTCCTCCTCTGTTCTTCAGAATAGCTTGAGTAGAATTGATAGTAGTTCTTTAAATGTTTGATATAATTAAGCAGTGAAGCCTTTGGGTCCTGGGCTTTTCTTTACTGGGAGACTTTTTATTATGGGTTCAATCTCATTACTTGTTATCGGTCTGTTCAGGTTTTGAATTTTTTCCCAGCTCAATCTTAGTAGGTTGTATGACTAGAAATTTGTCCGTTTCTTCTAGATTTTCCAATTTATTGGCCTACAGTTGCTTATAGTAGCCAGTAATGGCTCTTTGAATTTCTGCAGTAGCAGTTGTAATGTCTCCTTCTTCATTTCTGATTTTATTTGTATCTACTCTGTTTTTTCCAAAGTTAGTCTGGCTAAAGTTTTGTCAGTTTTGCTTAACTTTTCAAAAAACTGACTTTGTTTCACTTATCTTTTGTATTTTTTTATTTCAACATTTATTTCTGCTCTGATCTTCATTATTTTTTTCCTTCTATTAATTTTGGGTTTGGGTTGCTTTTGCTTTTCTAATTCTTTAAGATGGATTGTTAGATTGTTCATTTGAAGTTTTTCCTCTTTTTTTGATTTAGGCACTTAAAGCTAAAAACTTCGCTCTGAGTACCGCTTTTGCTGTATCCCACAGATTTTGGGATGTTGTGTTTCCATTATCATTTGTTTCACAAAATTTTTCTATTTCCTTCTCAATGTCTTCATTGACCCACCGGCCATTCATGTGCACATTGTTTAATTTCAATGTATTATAGTTTCCAAAATTACTCTTGTTATTAATTTTTATTCCATTGTGGTCAGAGGAGATACTTGATAATGCAAACTTTTTTGAATGTTTTAAGATTTGTTTTGTGAGTTAATATATGATCTATCCTTGAGAACGATCCATGTGCTGAGGAAAAGGAGTATTCTGAAGCTCTTGGATCAAATGTTCTATAAATATCTATTATATCCATTTAGTCTATAGTGCAGATTAAGTCTGTTTCTTTGTTGATTTTTGGTCTGGAAGATCTGTTTAATGCTGAAAGTAAGTTGTTGAAGTCTCCAGCTATTATGGTATTGGGGCCTGTTTCTCTCTTTAGCTCTAGTAATATTTCCTTAATATATCTGGGTACATATATATTTAAAATTGTCATATCCTCTTGCTAAATTGACCCTTGTGTCATTATGTAGTGAACTTCTTGTCTTACAGTTTATGTCTTGAAATCTATTTTGTCTTATATAAGTATAGTGATCCTGCTCTTTTTTGGTTTCCATTGGAATGGAATATCTTTTTCTAGCCCTTTATTTTTAGCCTATGGGTGTCTTTATAGGTTGAATGTGTTTCTCATAGGCAAAAGGTCAATGAGTATTGTTTTTTCAGCCACTCAGCCAGTCTATGTCTTTTGATTGGAGAATTTGGTCCATTTACTTCAGTGTTATTATCAACAAGTAAGGACTTACACTTGCCATTTTGTTATTTGTTTTCTGGTTGCTTTGTGGTCTTTTCTTTCTTGCCTTCCTGTCTTCCTCTAGTGAAGGTGATTTTCTCTGGTGATATGAGAGTTTCTTGCTTTTTATTTTTTTGTGTAGCCATTGTATGTTTTTTGGTTTGAAGTTACCATAAGGCTTTCAAATACTATCTTTTAACCCATTATTTTAACCTGTTAACAACTTAACACTACTTGCATAAATAAACAAGCAAAAAGAAAACTAATAAAAACTCTATGCCATAACTTGGTCCCCCTACTTTTTAACTTTTTGTTGTTTCTATTTATGTCTTATTGTACTGACTATGTCTTGAAAATTTGTTGTCATTATAATTTTTGATTCATTCATCGTTTAGTCATTCTACTTAGGATAAGAGTAGTTGACACACCACAGTTACAATGTTAGAATATTCTGTGTTTTTCTGTATACTTACGAGTTTTGTACCTCAGGTGATTATTTATTACTCATTAATGGCTTTTTCTTTCTGATTGAAGTACTCCCTTTAGCATTTCTTATAGGACAGATCTGGTATTAATGAAATCCTTCAGTTTTTGTTTGGGAAAGTCTTTATTTTCTCCTTCATGTTTGAGAGATATTTTTGTCAGATATATTCCAGGGTAAAAGGCTTTTTTTCCACCCTTTAGCACTTTAAATATGCCATGTCACTCTCCTGGTGTGTAAGGTTTCCACTGAAAAGTCTGCTACCAGGTGTACTGGAGCTCTAGTGTATGTTACTTGTTTCTTTTCTCTTGGTTCTTTTAGTATCCTTTCTTTATCCTTGACCTTTGGGAGTTTAATTGTTAAACGATTCAAGGTAGTCTTCTTTAGATTAAATCTACTTGGTGTTCTCTAACCTTTTTGTACTTGGGTGTTGAGCCCCCCCTCTTTAAGGCCAGTAACTCTTAGATTTGCCCTTTGGGGGCTATTTTTTAGATCCTGTAGGCGTGCTTCATTGTTTTTTCTTTTTTCTCTTCTGACTGTGCATTTCCAATAGTCTGTCTTCAACATCACTAATTCATTCTTCTGCTTGATCAGTTCTGCTATTAAGAGACTCTGGTGCATTTCTCAATACGCCAGTTGCGTTTTTCAGCTCCAGAATTTCTGCTTGATTCTTAATTATTTCAATCTCTTTGTTAAATTTATCTAATTCTGAATTCCTTCTCTGTATCATCTTGAATTTGAGTTTCCTCAACACAGCTATTTTGAATTATCTGTCTGAAAGGTCACATGTCTCTGTTTCACTGGTATTTTTCCCTGGTGCCTTATTTAGTTCATCTGGTGAGGTCATGGTTTCCTGGATGGTGTTGATGTTAGTAGATGTTAGGTTCATTGGATTGGAGGCAGTGAGCTGATGAAATTTCTATGTGATATGTTCAATTGTGTGTATGATATATGATCTGAGGCTATCTGCTGAGAATGGGGAAGGAATTTCAGAATATAGAAGGGTATCATTGCAGAATATGAGATAGTGAGTTGACAGTGACAACATGTTTAGATTGTATGGCATTACCAAGCATTTATTTGAGACTAGTAACTCTAACTCAACTCATAGGTGGGAATTGAACACATGGACACAGGAAGGAGAACATCACACACCAGGACCTGTTGTGGGGCTGGGAGAGTGGGGAGGGATAGCATTAGGAGATATACCTAATGTAAATGATGAGTTAATGGGTGCAGCACACCAACATGGAACATGTATACATATGTAACAAACCTTCACATTGTGCACATGTACCCTAAAACTTAAAGTATAATAAAAAAAAAAAAAGAAAGAAATCCAATTGCCCTGATTTGAGACTTTATTAGCAGAGGACAATTTTCAGTCTTTGATAGACCATAGTATACCCTCCTTCTATAAACTAGGGTGAAACCATTCTCCTTAGCATCTCCGTTTTTATGTTACAAAATTATCCTTAGCATCCTAATTACATATAATCTGTATATGAGAGAAGAAAATGCCTCATTCTTCTCCTTTATTATGCTTCCAGTAGTTGCTGGGATCTGTCCTTGCCCTAGTTTAGAAGTCTTCAAACATGAGGAAAGGCATTCTAAAGTGGTTACTGCATAAACACTCCTTGTATACTTTTGGTTTTGCACTCTTGTGCTCTTTCACACATCTTCATTTTATCCGTTTTCAGTTGTTGTTACTTTCCATGGTCATTTTCTTGTTATTTTTTTTTCTCCTACAAAAAGCAATAAGAAAATCATTATGCAAATTATCATTTTGCAGGGGTTATTTTTATTTATAGAGATAATATCCAGCAGACAAGAGGAGAAGGAAGAATGATCCAGAATGTTTTCCCATCTGATTTCAATCAAATTCATATTGAAAGTTAAGTCTCACTATGCTGAATATCCATTTTCTGCAGCACCACAGCTCTGCAGCATTTCAAAAGTAAGTTCTTAAAAATCCTGCAATAAAAGAGAAGATGCAAAATATCTCGGCTCACTGCAACCTCTTCCTCCCAGGTTCAAGCAATTCTCCTGCCTCGGCCTCCTGAGTAGCTGGGACGAGTGGCACTCACCATCATGCCTAGCTAATTTTTGTATTTTTAGTAGAGACAGGGTTTCACCATGTTGGCCAGGATGGTCTTGATCTCTTGACCTCGTGATCTGCCCGCCTTAGCCTCCCAAAGTGCTTGGATTACAGGAGTGAGCCACCACGCCTGGCCCTGCAAAGTGTTTTTAGAAGGCAGATTTTATTTTTTCTGCTCGCCTCACATGTACTAATATCAAAGAAAATCAAAAGGAATGGAGTGAATGAATGAATAATCTTACTTCTAAGAACTATATCAGAAACATTTAAAAGTACTTCCTAAAAAGTTCTGAAATGAACAATTCTGTACGTATAAAAAAATTAGATATATGTGGGACAAAGAATTTTTTAAAACATTCATAAATCCTTCTTAAAAATAGAGCATTCTATTCTGACTTTTTCACTGCCATCTCTCAAGATATCCTCAGAAAAAAAAATTAAAATCAGAATTGTCTCAGTTCAAGTACTGCCCACTGGAAGATGACCCCAATTACCCAAAGAAGTGCTCAGCTTAACCTCCAAAATAATACGGCAGACTTTTTAAATTACATGCCTCAGACAGAACCATGGGGAAAGAACTAGTATTCAAAAATGGGTTCCTTGACATTGCAGAAAGCACTGATGCTCTTAACCCCACCACTTTTTAGTTCTGACATAACTTGATAAAAAATAAATTGCAGGTCAGATGCAACAGAAACTGTCCCTTGATATTGGTCCTACTAAAAGGAACCCTGATGAAACTCTGGGTTAATAACTTTAAAATCCACTTTAGAAGAATGCAGTTCTTATTGCTGCCCAACTGATGACATATCCCCTTTTCTATGAAATGACAAAGAAAAGATGTCACAATTGAATGGATGTTCATCATTTTCTACCTATGTACAATTCTAAGCCAAAGAAAACAAGCAGCATACTCTGGTAGGTAGTGCTTAAGTTGTTCAGAGTTGTTAACCCCAAAGTCCTCACAAACCAACTTCCAGAATATAGGTTTTTATTTTAGTTGGTCATGTAGGACTGAATCATTGAACCCCAAATTAAAACATGCCTCAGGTAACAAGTACATTTCTGTGTTGCTACGTTCTAGTGCCTGACTGTAATGTGGGAAATGCCAAAAGCTTCTTGAATATTTGAACCATACCTTTCAGCTAAATAATTAATATTATCAAAGTGCAGTTTCTTTTCTCTCCAGTAACATCCTAACTTTTTTTTTTTTTTTGCCAGTCTGAGGCATTCCTCACAGTGCCCGGCTTTGAGAAAGCTGGAAAGTGAGATAATGGTAATATTCATGCAATGAAAGATTTTCTTGGAATTCAAAGGAACATGTAATGAATGTTGAAATTTCATAAAAATTATAAGGAGTATATTAATATACCAATATGCATATAAACTCAGTTTATAAGAACCTGAACACTGAAAATATTTCATATTTTAATTTTGCATAGAAAAAATCATTTAAAGTCTTTGAGCAGAAAGGCAGTGTGATATATAGTTTACCGTAAAAAATGCTGTGGGTTGGGTTTCAAAATATGAAGATCTGTGTGGCCACAACATGTTTTTTTCATTTGCAGAATAGAAAAAAAATTCCTGCCTAAATAGTACCCAGGGTTATAAAACCATGTAATATGTGTAAGTGTTCTGATGACTGAAAAAAACACTACATAATGTGAAATATTACAGAGTCTTCTCTGTTCTCTCATTATAACAACTTGATTTTAGGACCTTGAAAATACTTCCCCAAATGTAATCTCATTTCTGAAAAAAGAAGCAGGAACAGGAATTAATATTAAAATTTCATAGGTATTATAGAATATATATATGTATGTATGTATAATCATGTGCTACATAATAACATTTCAGTAAATGACAGATCACATATACAGTAGTGGTCCCATAAGATTATAACACTGTATTTTTTTTTCTTTTTGAGACAGGGTCTTTCTCTGTCACCCAGGCTGGAGTGCAGTGGTGCAATCTTAGCTCACTGCAACCTCCACCTCCCAGGTTCAAGCAATTCTTGTGTCTCAGACTCCCAAGTAGTTCGGATTACAGATAATGAAACACTATGTCTGGCTAATTTTTGTATTTTTTGTAGAGATGGGGTTTTGCCACGTTGATCAGGCTGGTCTCGAACTCCTGGCCTCATGTGATCTGTCTGCCTTGGCCTCCCAAGGTGTTGGGATTACAGGTGTGAGCCACCGAGCCTGACCTATAACACTATTTTTACTGTACCTTTTCTATGTTTAGATAGACAAATATTTACCATTGTGTTACAATTGCCTGCAGTATTCAATACAGTAACATGCTGTGCAGTTTTATGGCCTGGGATCAATAAGGTACACCATATAGCATGGTGTGTAGTAGGCTATTCCATCTTGGTTGGTGTAAGTCCTCTTATGATATTTGCACAATGATGAAACTGCCTAATGGCATATTTCTCAGAACATATCCCTATAGTTGTGATGCATGACATATATGTGTGTACATGTATGTACATGTATAAATGTATGCACATGCTACCTATAGCCTGATAGAGATAGTAACACCAATTAGTTATAAGATTTTTCTCTTCTCCTTTTCTGCTCTTGCCTTCCTCTTGAGTGACTTCAACAACCAGGTCTCCTTCTCTAAACCTTATTCAGTCTCATTTCCAGTCTTTTCTTCCTGCTTCTATCTGCCTTGGCCCATCACCTTTAACTGCTGTACTTCCCAGTTTCTCAACTTTGTGGGCTTTCTTGTCATCCATCTCAAAACCTTCTGCATTTGTAAACATTCTCTCTACCTCACCATGGCAACCCATATACTTCAACTACGTGTTTGTCTTTACCCATCTTAGATCCTCTCTCTCACTCTTTATTTTCTCCTTTTCCAGGTTGTCTAGCCTTCCAGGGACATTCTCTTGTGTCCTTATTCCCACCCCCACCCCCACCCACCACCCAAAATCCCATTTTCCTCTACTTCTCACTCAATGTACTCTCTCATCCTAAATACTGAATGCCATAAACAGTCATCTCTGTTCACTGACTCTCCTTTCTCAGTTCTTTATTTCCCAACCCACAGCAGTTTGGACTTGGCTATCGCACTGTCTCTGAATCTTCTCTACCAGTTGTCAAAATGATCACATATTACTAAGACCAACTTCTTCCTTCTTCAGTCCATCTGACTTGGCTTCTCCATAGCCTGGACCACTACTTATCACTCCTTTCTGTATTCCTGTGAATACTCCCTTGATGACTTTGCTTCTTAAGCCAACTCCTAAATACTGGTATCTTCCCAGGTTCTCTATCTAGGATTGCTACATTTTTTTCCTTTGGACAGCATCCATCTACACCTAAATGGCTAACTCATAAATTCAATGCAGAGAACTCTCAGATCTACATCTCCAACCCTGGTTTCCCTTGACCCCTGATCAGAATTTCTAATAGTGGTCAAGACATCGTCATATGAATAGCTGACCAAAAACTCAAACTGCTAACAACCAATACTAATTCTATTTCTTCACATTACCGATATCTGCATCCTACCTCATTCTTACTTCCACTGCACTAATTTGAAACTTAATTACCTCTTGCCTCTTAAAATATTATTTCTTGCAACTACAGATGCTCCTTTCCCTATGTTGGGTTGCATCCCAATAAACCCATTTTAAGCTGAAAATATTGAGTTGAAAATGCACTTAGTACACTTAACTACAGAACATCATAGCTTATTAGCACAGCCTACCTTAAGTGTGCTCAGAACACTTAATTTACACTATAGTGGGGCAAAAGGCATCTCACACAAATATTATTTTATAATAAAGTTGTTGAATATCTCATGTATGTTATTAAATACTACAAGTGAAAAACAACGGTTGTATGGACAGTCAAAATATGTTTTCTACTGAATGTGTATGACTTTTGCACCATTGTAAAGTCAAAAATTCTTAAGTAAAGTCATCTTAAGTCAGGGGTTGGCTGTATTATGATAGCTTCCAAACTGGTCTTTCTGTCCTCAACATAGCCACAAGCATTATCTTACTAAAGCTTCATTAAAATCATGAACCTCTACTGCTCAAAACTGCTGATGTTTCCAAATTTTCTACAAAAATAAGGTCCACATTTGTTAGCATGATAGCGTATTCGAGGCCAGATTACTTCTTAGCAGAAGATTCATCTTAATCTTCTGCTAAAATATCCCCTTCCCCTACTCCCACCCCACACCGTATTATTGTTTGTCACTCTCCAAATTTTCTGGTCTCTGGGCTTTTCACTGTTTCTACCCATCTTTCTGCTGGATTATTCATTGTGCTTCACTAATCTTTCTTTACGTTGAGGCTGAGACCCAGATTCAACTATGATCTCCTTAAATGGTTCCCTAACTACCCAAGATGAATTTCATTTCTCTCTGTTCTGCACTTCCAGGACAAGTTCAGGTACTTGTTGAAAGTGTCCTAGAAGTGCAGAACAGAGAGATGAAATCCAACTGGGGAAATTAAGAAACCACTTGGACTTGAATTTTATTGTGTGTTTCTTTTCTCCATCAGATTCTTAGCTCTCTCAATGTAGGAAAAGTATCTTCTTTATCATTAAATTGCTTCATGGTATCCATGTCCTGTATAAGTAGAAATCGTACAAAATATATTTGATTTTTAAATGTTATTCATGGTAAAAATTTTAGTAACCCTGAGCAGTACCACCAAATGACCTCAGCAGATAATAACAACAGCCTGTTCACATGTGTGTAGAAGTGCTAAATGCTGGATTACAATGTTTTAGTTAATGTACATTAAAATTTCCTTATACATAGAGTTCTTTAGTTTTTTAGGTTCATATTAGTATTGTCAATTATAGCATTTAAATAATTGCTCAATAAATATTTGTCAAAAAATGTGAAAAGAATATATGGCCACAGAGGTTCATTTTCTTTACTTTTCGAAGAGTAAAAAATTATATTGCCAAGGTGAGGGTTAAAAGAAAAATTTTCAGCCTAAGTTCCAGAGAAGACAGCTCTCCTTTCACACCTGACTAATAAAGTGCTGCAGGGTTTGCTTCCAAGAACTGTTTTCCTTATCCCATAAGGCAGCTACTCTCTAGAGGATGGCTTCATTTTCTCACAGCTGTCATCTTTTAACCTTATTTTTAAAATCAGATCTATGGAAAAAAAACACCTGCTCTTCCAGCAGGTGCATGGGGACAGGCTTTAGTCAGAGCCAGCAGGAGTGGCTTCCCCAGCACCATCATTTCACATAGATTAGCCATGCCTGCAGAATGTGCCTTCACCATTCAAGTACCATTTAATCCAGAGTATGCATTTCAAAGCCAGTCCATTGTAACAATCACTGTTTGTGACATCCCATATAAGCCTAATTACTAAGTTGAAAATGCAGTGTATTTTGAGTTTCTGGTTAAGTCCAAGTTGTTTTTCTTGCAGCCACATCCTGCAAGACAGCAAGGGAACATTTCATTAGCAGTGAGGATGACTTTCATTTTTTCTTCTAATTTCGGCTTTTTGAAGAATTCTTCTTTGAATGAAAATGCTAGCAAAATTTGATTTCCATTTCAACTCGTTGTCACTTTGATTTATTTCTCTAAGCAACCAGTGAATGGGAACATAGAGCAAGCAATGAAAATTGCATCCCACTTTTTTTTTTTTTTTTTTAAAGATTTCTCTCTCATTTTGGCTTTGAGGAAGCTTCTCCAATAAGCAAAAAGTGTTGATGTATTGTAAGAATACTTGGTTAGTTCTGAAATCACAAAAGTCACTCATGGCAAGGGAATTTTACCTATTTTAATAATATATTTTGTTTCTATCCAGAGTGTGTGCATGTGTCTGTGTGTGTAGAGTATGTATATACCTATACAGAGTCAATAGATATATTCATATAAATTTATATATATTTTATGCATGTGTATATATTTATAATTTGTATGTATATATTCACACACGGAAACAAATTTATACTATCTTATATGTCAAACCAAATTTCAAATAAGTTAAAAGATAAAAGTATTTATTTGTTTTACCTTATTTTTAATTCTTCTTACAGTCTTTATTACTCATTGAAGGTCTTTACAAATCAGAGGGCAGGTAGAACAGACTTGGAAGTTAGAAAAAATATGGGTTACAACTCTGGTTATGTCACTTCCTGGCCCTTAAATCCTGGCCTTATTACTGTCCTCTCAGACTCAGTTGTTTGATTTATGAGGCTCATCCTATTTACTGCACAGCATTTTTATGAGGATTAATTGGTAGCATATGCAAAGAATTTAACACTAAACCTACAATACAAAGGGATCCAGAAAAGGATTGTTATTAAAGCATTATATAACATTGGAAAATTCATAAATAACATGTTTAGAGTATGGATGGAGTCTCCATCCTAGTTCCATACTATCATTTCACTGTGCGAGCTTAATTCCTAGGACTGTTTGACCAAAGGTAGAGTAGCAGCTTTGCTCTAAACATAAGGATCATAGGCACTCAGGGTTGTAAAAGCTTAAAAATCATCTATCCCAGATGGCTACCTACCATCTTCTATGTAAACATCAAGTAAACTCTTCTCAGTTGAAGAATTGCCATCCAATAAATACAGTTTTATTTTAATTGGTAAGAGGTCATGGAGAAACCTAAGAATTAGGACTGATTTCTTATTTTCCAGCACCTCTATATTCCATCCAATGGCTGCTCCTATTAGCTATACCTCCAAGATACAACTGACAACATGTACTCTTCTCAACACTTGTGCCAGCACCCCAGACAAAGCCACAATTAGCAATAGCCCCCATGTCAAATAATCTTTCTGGGTTTAATTTTGTCTCCGTATAGTCTGTTTACCCCACAGCAGCTAGAGTGATACTTGATTATTGATACTTGATGTGATTATTATGCATTGCATGCCTGTATCAAAGTATCTCATGTAACTCATAAACATATACACCTACTATGTATGCACCAAAATTTAAAATTCAAAAAATTAACATAAAAAATAAGAATTGAAAACATGGTATGATCTTAGTTGGAACCTCCTAATGGCTTTCCATTATGCTTTAGAATAAAATCCAAACCCTAGCCATAGCTTGCCAGGCCCTATGAGATCCAACACCTCTTCCTCTCATTCTCATTTGTCCACCTACTACTTCATTTACCTGATCTGAACACTCACTTCCTCTCTGTTCCTCAAACCAATCTAGTTTATTTCTGACTGACCTTTCTTGATCAAGCCATTTACATTTATCTCACAATTCTAATATTTATTACACCATGTTCTATATTCTTTATTTTGTTTATTATCTTTCTCTCTGCAGAATGTAAACTCAGAGAAGGGGCCAGGTTTTCCTGCTACCCACTGCGTCCCATGTTTGTAGCAGCATCTAGAACGTAGCAGGACTTCAATATTCATTCACTTAATGGAATAGAAATGCTTTACATTTTAGTTACAAATACTTCATTAAGTCCCTCAAAGATAAGTATCGCATATCATCCAAATATGAATCTCCGGCACACAGAAAAGGACTGTGCTCCCTCTCATGGGACAGTCTATGCAGGAAATAAGATGGGAAATAAGACACAAATAAAAAAATAAACGAAGTAACTTTCAGATGGTGAGAAATATGGAGGACACAAGTGTATTACTTTCCCAGAGCTGCTATAACAAAGTATCACAAACTGGCTAAGAACAACATGAATGTATTGCCTCAGAGTTCCTAAGACTTGAAGTCTAAAGTTAAGGTGCCAGCAGGACTACGCTCTCTCCAAAGGATCTGCTCCAGCCCTTCTCCTAGCTTTGGGTAGGAGCTTGGGGTAGCTCCTTGGCTTGTGAGAGCAAAATTCCAGTCTTCACATGTTGTTTTCTTTGTGTGGGCATCATAGTCGACTTTTTTTTATGCACTTGTACTCCCCTCTTAATTAACTTTGTAAACATCTCAAGGTCAAAGACCATGTGGATACCTCTGGATGTATGCAGTAGTCCCTTAGTTTCTTTCTTTTAACAACAACAATACTTTTATCGTTGAGCTTAAGCCTTTTAAAACCAGGGGGATTGTTTCCTTTTCTTTTCTGGGTTTTACCACTTCTTGACTTTTACCATACCATAATATTCTCATGTGGTTGTCATTCTTTCACACCTGTGTCAATAACCTAAATTATTATAAAGCAAATAATGTGTTGTTCACAGTGCTGGTCCTAGATCCCAGGTCTTCCCATATCGCTTCTTTCATTAACACCATATCCGTGTGTCAGACATACAGAATGAGAATATATAGCTAGAAGTAAATAGACTCATTTATTAGAGCAGTCAAGGATAGTAGTCATGAACTTATTATTCTTATCAGAATGGATAGATATTTGCAACTGCCGTGTATTTCTAGTGTTAACTAATCCCAAAGGAAGCTGGAAATAAATTTTACATTAGGAGAAATGACATTTTGTGTCACAGAGATTTTCCTTAGACCTATCTGAGCAGGTAAATTTAGATACTGAGAATAGTCACAGTGGGGTACATTGAAAAATTAACTTGTCAAACATCTATAATACAGAGATTGACAAATAAAACTTCTCCAAAGGACATTCTATACCTTTGACCTTTCTTTCACCTTTTAGGTAACTAACCCGATAATGGGGTTCTATTGTGTCATAAATTTGAGCTATATTGCAGTAATCAGCCTGCCGTATGTTTCACTACCATTTCACTGCATTTAATATGCTACTGCTGATGTTTGCCTTTATAACTCTTTGAAATGACCTTTATTAGGGAAAACAGACTGGGCAGATGGGGAAGTAAGGATTTTAAGTCACAAACTCAGCACTACGTGTCTGAGAATAGAATTCCAGGGGCAGTTTTCTTTTTTCAGGCTCTCTTGTGACAGTCTTCAGGGGACAAGCACATTATCCACAGAGCTATGCTGTGCTCCAAAGTGACTGTTCCTGCACAGGCTAATTGAGATATTCAAAATCTGAAACTCAGCCAGCCTCGTCAGTTGATAGTTCTACCAGGTATCCATAAGTCTGGAAACTTAGATGATTTCTTTATGTATTTATGCATTTACAGATTGAAGATGTCATTCTATATATTTTACTGTGTTTCCCAGACTTTATTTATTTTGTCTTCTCTTGGAGTTTTGCTGGGCTTTCTAAAAAGTTGCAGAGATGTAGGCTCTCCTTAAGGAAAATCAACTGTTTTGGTACAGTTACATTTTTAAGAGTTTCTATAGTGTTTATTGAATCCTGAATTTGTGCGATCTTTCTTGAGGGCAATTTGACAGTGTGTACCAAAAGTCTTTCTTAGTGTTTTGCATCTCCTGTGAATTGGTAATTCCGTCTTTAGGAGTTCATCATAAAGACATAATCACAGATATGAATAAAGACACCAGTATATAAATGTTCATAAAAGTTCTGCTCATAAGAGGAAAAGGTTTGAAACATAGGTTTTATTTAGCTGCAAGGCACAGAAAACTCTATTATATAGTCTCAAGGTAGCCTATTCCAGGTTTGCTTCAGTGGCTCTGTGATCTTATGGAGTAACCCCTCTCTTTCTAGCCTCCTTCTCTGTCATCCTCATTTGATGGCATTTCCTTAGTTTCACTTCTCTGGGTCATAAAGTTACAGCCATAGATCCAAAAAACATGGCTGGGAAAACAAAAACAAGAAGACAGTAAATGGAGTTCTCCATTCATCCTGGGGAGGAGTGACATTCCTCTGAAATCCTCCTATCCTAGCCAACTTGCCCTTACCTCTCTATTGCCAAAAGTGGGTCACATGGCAAATTCCAACTGCAAGGAGTCTGGGAAAGTAGGTACCTGGAAAAATAGAATTTTCATGATTGATTTGGAGAAGTTTTGAATAATTTCCTATGGACTAAGCATAAAATCATGATTAAATTAGCAGGAAAAGGAGAGAGAATGGCTGTTGGATGGCCACTAACAATATTGGACACCCATGTGTCCCATAATTAAATATAGATGCAAGCAAACTTTTAAATGTTATAAAATATATTTAATGTCATGGAAGGTAATTGTTATATTAAAATATAGGCTTTATAATGTGCATTTCAGAAGATTATGTTAATAATGACAAAACCCTCCTGGACCCATTAGCAGGAAAAGAAGACATAAAGGCTTGGAATTAAAGAGATTATTATTATTATTTTTACTAAAGTGTCCAGTGATTATCTCTGGGTAGAGGGAATTGTTGAAAATCAGAGATTATAGTGCTAGTAGATTATATTTGATCAAGTAATACTGTATGCCTGTCCCATATGTCAGCCTTTCTTCTACCCAAGTCCTCCAAGAAACAAACAAACAAAATGTTATTAGGCTGTGTGTCTGAAATCCTAGTAGGCTCGTGCCCTAGGATACAGATGTAAAGGATCTCTTCTAAACTCACTGCTCACTGAGCCCCTCACTTCCTCCACTCCCAGACTGCATCTTGGGCCCTCCTATATTCTGGTGGCAGAAGATAGGAGGGAACAGGTTGGGCCTCTTAGAAGGCCTGGATCCAATTACAACTTCAGCCACTTATGTGGAAGTGAGAAGAAAACCACCTCCAGGTTCTCACCTTTTAAAATGCAGTGATTCTGGCGCTAGAAAATATGCCCTAAAAATCAGCATTCCAGCATATAGCCTATAATATTAATCCTCTGTTCTGGAAAGTGAGAAGGGAAGGGAAAAAAATGTTTCCTTTCCTTGGCCCACAGGGTGATTTATATTTTATTTGAGTCTTGTAAATGTCCTACTATGAACATACTTTGTGTAATAAGAACAAATATAGCATAAAACTTTTGATATAAGTTGCATATTTAATGAGATGTTATCTCTTTGTTTTTCACTCTGTGTTTCCTTGGTTATAAATTTTTGCTACAGTAAATAGGCAGTGATAGATACAGATGCAATGATAGATTTTGCATCTGATACTTACAATAAACAAAAATCAATAAGATGTTTATAACAAAAAGGAATAGTATCAGGAAAATCAATAGCCTAAACAAAGTAAATTAAACATTATACACAAATATCTCATATTTGAGATGAAGCTTAGAAGTAATCCACTTATGCCAATTTTTTTTACTTTAAAAAAGGAATTATCTCTACAACACCTCTGAGATAAGGTCATTTAAGTTCTACTTGGATGCTTTAAGTAACATACTATTCATTATTATTTAAATTAATATAACTTATATTGTCACCATTTATTCATTACCAGTCATTTACTCGTTGTCTAAAACTTTTTATATACATATATATATACACACATATATATATACATATATATATACACACATATATATATACATATATATACACACATATATATATACATATATATACACACATATATATATACATATATATACACACATATATATACATATATATACACACATATATATACATATATATACATATATATATGTATATATATATTTTTTTATCATACTTTAAGTTCTAGGGTACATGTGCACAACGTGCAGGTTACATATGTATACATGTGCCATGTTGGTGTGCTGCACCCATTAACTCGTCATTTACATTACGTATGTCTCCTAATGCTATCCCTCCCCCCTCCCTCCACCCAACAACAGGCCCTGGTGTGTGATGTCCCCCTTCCTGTATCCAAGTGTTCTCATTGTTCAATTCCCACCTATGAGTAAGAACATGCAGTGTTTGGTTTTTTATCCTTGCGATAGTTTGCTGAGAATGATGGTTTCCAGCTTCATCCATGTCCATACAAAGGACATGAACTCATCATTTTTTATGGCTGCATAGTATTCCATGGTGTATATGTGCCACATTTTCTTAATCCAGTTTATCATTGTTGGACATTTGGGTTGGTTCCAAGTCTTTGCTATTGTGAATAGTGCCACAATAAACATACGTGTGCATGTGTCTTTATAGCAGCATGATTTATAATCCTTTGGGTATATACCCAGTAATGGGATGGCTGGGTCAAATGGTATTTCTAGTTCTAGATCCCTGAGGAATTGCCACACTGCCTTCCACAATGGTTGAACCAGTTTACAGTCCCACCAACAGTTTAAAAGTGTTCCTGTTTCTCCACATCCTCTCCAGCACCTGTTGTTTTCTGACTTTTAATTATAGATTTAATGCCATCCCCATCAAGCTACCAATGACTTTCTTCACAGAATTGGAAAAAACTACTTGAAAGTTCATATGGAACCAAAAAAGAGCCCACATTGCCAAGTCAATCCTAAGCCAAAAGAACAAAGCTGGAGGCATCACGCTACCTGACTTCAAACTATACTACAAGGCTACAGTAACCAGAACAGCATGGCACTGATACCAAAACAGAGATATAGACGAATGGAACAGAGCAGAGCCCTCAGAAATAATACTACACATCTACAACTATCTGATCTTTGACAAACCTGACAGAAACAAGCAATGGGGAAAGGATTCCCTGTTTAACAAATGGTGCTGGGAAAAATGGCTAGCCATATGTAGAAAGCTGAAACTGGATCCCTTCCTTACACCTTATACAAAAATTAATTCAAGATGGATTCAAGACTTAAATGTTAGACCTAAAACCATAAAAATCCAGAAGAAAACCTAGGCAATACCATTCAGGACTTAGGCATGGGCAAGGACTTCATACCTAAAACACCAAAAGCAATGGCAACAAAAGCCAAAATTGACAAATGGGATCTAATGAAACTAAAGAGCTTCTGCACAGCAAAAGAAACTACCATCAGGGTGAACAGGCAACCTACAGAATGGGAGAAAATTTTTGCAATCTACTCATCTGACAAAGGGCTAATATCCAGAGTCTACAAAGAACTCAAACAAATTTACATGAAAAAACAAACAACCCCATCAACAAGTGGGCAAAGGATATGAACAGACACTTCTCAAAAGAAGACATTTATGCAGCCAACAGACACATGAAAAAATGCTCATCATCACTGGCCATCAGAGAAATGCAAATCAAAACCACCATGAGATACTGTCTCACACGAGTTAGAATGGCGACCAAAAACTTTTAAGAACTTACCTTTTCTCCGTCTCAAGCCTAAAGCAAATTCCTTCACAATGTGTGCCTGGAGAGATGGAGGCAGAAAGACAATGTTCCTTCTAAAATTTTACATCATTTATTTTTACTCAAAAGATAAAAATTTCTACCTATATTCCTAATACAGTACGTAAGTTCTTATGTTGTCACTGTGAGGTACAATTCTAGTTTTTCCTACTGATTATCAGATAATTTTCATGATTTTCTTTTTATGAATAAAAGAACGTTCTCTATATGTGTCTTGTAAGTTCTCTTTTTTAAATTAACTTTCCTAATTCTCCAAGTTAATTTTTCGTCTTTGTGTTACTGTTTATTGTTCTTGATTACTTTAGCTCTTACTTTTCTATTACATTACTATGTAGCTGTATCATTATACAGGCCAGAAGTGCTTTTATTTTTTGTCTTTGCATAGCATTTTTGAATCACTCACATAACCTTTGCTACAGAACTGGCTCTGTTATGTTTCACCTACTCTCAAAATGTATGTGGAAGGTTCCATGTCTGATACAAATTTGTATCATCCCATGATGCTTAACAGAGACCCTTCTAATTGTCAGATTTGTCTCTGCATAGGTGTATGTGAGAAAGCAAACTGTATCCTTAACCCATGCTGTAAATGTATGTATGTATGTATGTATGTATGTATATATGTATATATATATTTGATTGATAATCACATATAGTTCATGAGAAAAACTCTACACTGAATCTAGTAAAATATAACTGTTTATTTTTATTGAACCTTTAAGAAGCCTCAGTACAAGCAAGACTTAGACCACTGTGTGGTCTTTTTCATCAGCTAACTCTTGATATAGTTAATAGTTCTCCGAAAACTAGGCTTCCTGCTCCTGCTGATAATTTCTTAGGGGTGTTGGAAAAAGCTTTGAACAAAAAAAGGCAAATATTTCATAAAAGACTGTTAAATGAAAGAGTGATTCCAAAACTATGGAAACAATAAGGAAGTTTGAATCACAGCCATAAACCAGAGCACAGGGTTGATCTTGCCAAACTAATGCTCTGTACATATTGTGCATTTGCAGCTCTTTCATATAAATAGGATCGTTGTGGAATATGCCAAGAAGGATGCTAATCTGTTTTTTCCTATAATGGTGCACTTGTTCCTAAAAGACAAATGCAAAACTACTTGTCTTCATTTGTTATGCATCATCACATAAATATAGACACCCTTTCTGGTTTTAATTAGTAATTCAGATAAGATAAAAGTTGAGACTAAAAATGCTGCTGATTTGCCATTTATCATGAAGACCCTAAAAGTCACTCATGACTTCTCATGGATTATATCATGTACTTCATTAGATACCACACAGTCTTGGAAGAATGTAGTATATATCTGTTCTAATTAAAGATTTTATACTTGGCCTCTCTCCTTCCAGCAAATATTTAGAATTTCAAATAGCCACAAAATGTTAATTTGGTTAGATATATCTCCTTCCTTTGAAAGAAATCAGTGAGGAAATAAGATACTTAAATGAATATCATCATACAGCAAATGAGAAATACATAAAATTGGGAAGTGCACTAATGGCAATGCTTGTGTAATTGACCTAAAGGCAAAGTGCATAGGGCAGTATATAGTTTGTGAGATCACTCTCACACCTGACTTAAACCCCAGGTCCACCACTTCCTAGGTGTGTGACCTCATGCAATTTATTTAGCCTCTGCTTCATTCTCCTTGTCTGTAAGACTGGAGTAATACCTTGCAGCATTGTAATGAGAATTAAATAGGAAAATGTAAACAAAGCACGTGTGCATGCTTGACATGTATTTTTATCATTATTGTTACTTTCAAATATGGTCTCTCTCCTAAATTGACTTCCTGTCTTCACTTTTGTCTCTATATACTCTGTTCTCCATGCAGCATTAATAGCCACTAAAAACCTTAATCCTACCAAATTACTTTATTACTTAAAATGTGCCCATGGATGCATACTTTAGAAAGATCCAGTCATTACCTTGCCTATGAGGCACTGAATGATCAGGTTTTTCTCGAGTTCACTTCTTCCCTCATGCCTCCTGCTCTGCTCCAAGCACAGTGGTTTTTCTGGTTTTTGTTTTGTTTTGTTTTGACACAGAGTCTTGCTCTGTCGCTAGGCTGGAGTGCAGTGGCACGATCTCGTCTCACTGCAAGCTCCGGCTTCCAGGCTCAAGTGACTCTCCTGCCTCAGCCTCCCAAGCAGCTGGGTCTACAGGCACATTCCACCATGCCCAACTAATTTTTGTATTTTTAGTAGAAACGAGACTTTGTGCAGTGGTTCATGCCTGTAATCCTCGCACTTTGGGAGGCCGAGACCGGTGAATCACGAAGTCAAGGGATCAAGATCATCCTGGCCAACATAGTGAAACCCCGTCTCTACTACAAAACACATATTCCTTTGTCTTCTTGGGATGCTTATCCCCTGATTCTTCACATGGCTCGATTCTTCATTTCATTCAAGTATCTGCTCAAATATCATATTTTCAGAGAATTCTTTCCTGGATATGCCTATATAAAATAGTCTCTCCTCCACCCCATGTAATTATCTGCACCCTTAACTCTATTACTTCTTCATAGTATGACCATTACCTGATTTTATAGTGTAAATTCATTTGTTATTTATTAATCTGTTCCTCCAGAATTTATGATCTATGAAGGCAGGTATTTTTTCCTTTGTTCCCGGCTATATTCCTGACAATTGAATGGTACCTGGAATGTATGAGACAGTCAACAGACATTTATTAAAAGAATAAACGAGCAAATCAATGAATGAATTGTCTTTGGTTAACTAGTTTGGTAAACATACAGGGTTACTATGATTAAGATACTTTTCTGAGGAAATCTTCCCACAGTCTATTTGTCTCCTATCAGCAGTCCCCCAGCATTGCAATTGAATTTGCTGTAATTAACACATTTATTACCATTTATCATTTGAGATTATAGATGTAGAAAGTGTAAGAGGGAGCAAAGATGTGCTAGGAAATGTTAAGATGAAAAAAGGAAGTGCAAATATGTTAGATTAACAAATAAGACAGAAGATGTAGAATAATAAAATATATGGGCTATTCAGAACACCTAAGAGAAATGATCATTTATATACCAAATAACACTATATTAAAAAAAAAAGTGAGACTCCAACACATTTATTAGTATAAATTGTGATTTTAACATGTCATTTTCAGGATTTGATATACATGTAGACAAAAAATAATTAACATAGGGTGGGCTATATTAATCCAATTAACCAAGTGGGATCTTTCAAAACTCCGGTATTAATCATCTAGCTTAAATCAATTTCAAAGGCAGTAGAAAAGGCAATGTCAAGTTGGTGAATACAGTAGGGAGGGATCTAACAACCAACTCTTTCAAACCAGTGAGTACGGTCATCTCTAGCATCATCTCAAGCCACTTGGCCTCCAAGTCATCCTGGAAGAAAAGAACTAGAATCTTCATAGACAAATTTTTAAATGCCATTGTCTTAGTCTGTTTGGGCTGCTTTAACAAAATACCATAAACTGGGTGGCTCATAAATAACAGAAATTTATTTCTCGCAGTTCTGAAGGCTGGGAAATCATACGTCAAGGCAGATTCAGTGTCTGGGTGAGGGTCTGCTTCCTGGTTCATAGATGGCCCCTTCTTGCTGTGTCCTTTCATGGTGAGGGTCTTTCTCAAGCATCATGTTTTATAACATCACTAATCCCATGGGTGAGGGAGGAGCCTTTATGTCCTAATCACCTTCCAAATACCTCACCTCCTAATATCATCACCTTAGGGTTGGGATTTCAACATATGAATTTTGATGGAACACAAGCATTCCAATCACAGCAGTCATCCTCATATAAACTTTCAAAGAAATAAAGATCATTGGGATGCGATATGAACAGAGTGGCTGCTTCTGCAGGGAAGAAAAGGTAGTTCTCAAACAGTACCATTAAGCATAAGAGAAATTCAGGTAGGAAGCATTCAAATTCTACCTTTGGAGACAGTTGAATGAGAAGTGGGGTGATAGTGCAGAAAATATTTTTTAACCTGAATTTGGATGCTGGGCTGTTCCCATCAGACAGTAGCAGATAGTAAATGTGAGCAGCAATGACTGGCCCTGATAAAAGGCATATGTATTGGAAAGAAAAAAAATATAACTATCCCTATGCACAGATTACATGATGATCTAAGTGGAAATGTCCATGTAATCTAGAAAAAAGTTCCTAAAACTAATAAATGACCTTAAGTAGGTTACAAGGTACAAGATCAACACACAAATATCAATCAAATTTCTATGTACTAGCAATGAACAATTAGAAACTGAAATTTTTTAAAAAATATTTATAATAGCTATAAAAATTGAAATATACAGGTATAAACCTAATAAATCTACAGGTTCTCTACACATAATACTATAAAATGCTGAGGAAAGAAATAAAAAAAGATCTAAGTAAATAGGAATTCATGTCATACCTTTGACTGAAATACTCAAAATAGTTAAGACATTAATTTTTGTGATACTAACTGACAGATTTGACAAAATCCCAACAGGAATTTTTATTGATGTGTACCATATAAGATGGTTGTAAAGTTAATAGAGCAAGGTAAAGAAATTAGAAAACTGAAACAGTTCTCAAAAATAAAGTTAGATGTGTCACACTAATCATTTGAAGACTGGAAAATCGGTAAGACAATTTGGTACTGGTGAAGGAGTAGACACAGATCAATGGAACATATCTGTTCTAATGAGCGTGGTGTTCATAAATAGATCTTCACAAATGTGATCAGGTTTATTTTCACATAAAATTTCCCACTTTAATGATTTTAAAGAGTACAATTCAGAAGAATTTCATTTGGCAATTTTTTTTTCACAAAGGTGAAAAGGGAATACTGTAGAAAATAGATTGTCTTTTCAACAAGCAATGTTAGAAAAATTTGAGATTAATATGCAGCAATCTTGATTCAAACCTAATCCCTATACAAAAGGAAAAGTCAAAATTGATCATAGAACTAAATGTAAAATATAAAACTATAATAAAATTTGAAAAAAAATACAGGAGAAATCCCATTGCTAGAATTTAGGACAAGAGTTCTCAGACATGATATCAAAAGCAGAGTCTATGGAATTTTAAAAAGTAACACATTGGGTTTCATTGCAATTAAAATTTTTGCTCTGTGAAATATACTGATAAGTGACTAGAAAGACAACCTTCAGACTGGGGAAAACATTTGCAAGACATATCCAGCATAACATTTGTATCTAGAATATATTAAGAATATATAAATAATTCTCAAATCTCAACAGTAAGAAATAACTCAATTTAAAAATAGACAAAAGGCTTGAAAAGACACTTCATCCAAGAGTATACACAGATGGCAAATAAGAACATTAAAAGTAGTACATACTAACTAGAAACATACAAGAAAAGGAAATTCTTACACAGCCAGGTTGGCACATTATAAAGCCATCACAAAAGATAAATGCTTGAGAGGATGGATACCCCATTTTCAATGATGTAATTATTATGCATTGCATGCATATATCCAAACGTGCTCCAGAAATATATATGCCTACTGTGTATCCACAAAAATTCCAAATAAAATTTTTAAAGGCCATCAAAATCTATTAAGTAGTAATATATTGTTTGTATATGAGACAATTTACTCTTCCTTTAGCCAGTCAATAGATATTAGGGATCTTTTTAATTTTGGACTGTTCTGAATAAAATAGCCTTGGACATATTTGTACAAGTATTTTAGCAGAACTGTTTTAATTGCGATCAGAAAAATATCTAGGAGTGGGATTCCTGGGTCATATGGTAAATGTATATTTTACTTCACAAAATCGGCCAAAATATTTTGCAAAGTAGCCGTACCACTTTGCATTTCCAGTAACAGTTCCACATTCCTGCCAACACAAGGCATTGTCAGCCTTCTTGAGCACAGCCATTCTAGTCTATACATATTCTAGTTATAATGTCCTTTTCCCTGATAGTTAATGATGTTATCTTTGCATGTACTTATTTGCTATCTGAGCTTCTTTGTTGAGGGTATGTTCAAAAATTTTGCCCATTTGAATTGGATTAGTAGCTTTTTAGTATTGAGTTGTGGGATTTCTTTACATTTTAGGGTTATTTTAAAATTCTTATTTTATAAAAGTTTTAGATTCATAGAAAAGTTGCAGAGATAGCAAGACAGTTCCCATATATCTCACACTCAGTTTCTGCTATTATAAACATCTTACTTTAGTATGGTATATTTGTCACAATCAATAAGCTGATAATGATATTAATTAAGTGTATATTTCCTTAGCTTTTACTTTATGCCTTTTATCTATTTCAGGATCCAACTGAAGTTTCTACAATACGCTTTGTCATTATCTGTCTTCTTAGGGTCCACTTGACTATGGTAGTTTCTTAGAGTTTCCTTGTTTTTGATGACTTCAACAGTTTTGAGGAGTACCGATTAGGTATTTTCCAGTGTCCCTCAATTGAGATTTGTCTAATGTTTATATTGTGATTAGAATGGGGTTATAGATTCATCTGAGAATATCTTTATTTTCCCTTTGAATCCTGAAGGATATTTCCCTGGACATATAATTGTGGATTTATTTGAGTTTACCCTATTTGAGGTCAGTTGAGCTTCTTGGATCTGTAGATTTATGCCTTTTGTGAAACTTGGAAAGTTTTTAGCCATATTTCTTTTAGTACTTTTTCAGTTCAAATCTCTCTTCGTCTAGAACTACAATGATACAAATATTAGCTCTGTTATTATGGTTCCAAAGGTCCCTGAGACTCTGGTTTTTTTATAGGTACATAATAGGTGTACATATTTATGGAGTATATGAGATATTTTGATACAGGCATGCAATGTGTAATAATCACATCAATGTAAATGGGATGTCTATGACTTCAAGCATTTATCATTTCTTTGTGTTACAAACTTTCCAATTATACTCTTTGGTTATTTTAAAATGTACAGTAAATTATTGTTAACTGTAATCACCCTGTTGTGCTATCAAATAGTAGGTCTTATTCATTCTAACTATATTTTTGTACCCATTAATGGTACCCACTTCCCCCCCGTCCCCCCCACTACCCTTCCCAGCCTCTGGTAACCATAATTCTACTCTCTATCTGCATGATTTCAATTGTTTTAATTTTTTAGCTCTCACGAATATGTGAGAACATGCAAAGTTTGTCTTTCTGTGCCTGACTTACTTCACTTAATGTCTTTCAGTTCCTTTCATGCTATTGGAAATGACAGGATCTCATTCATTTTTTTTGGCTGAATAGTTGTTCATTGTATATATGCACTTTTTTTAACTTTTAAGTTCAGGGGTACAAGTGCAGGTTTGTTTCATAGGTAAACTTGTGTCATGGGGGTTTGTTGTACAGATTATTTTATCACCCAGGTATTAAGCCTAGTACCCATTAGTTATTTTTCCTGATCCTCTCCCTCCTGCCACCATCCACTCTCCAAAAGGTCCCAGTGTGTGTTGTTCCCCTCTATGTGCCCAAGTGTTGTCATCATTTAGCTCCCATTTATAAGTGAGAACATGGGGTGTTTGGTTTTCTGTTCCTGTTTTAGTTTGCTAAGGATAATGGACTCCAGATTCATCCATGTTTCTACAAGGGACATGATCTCATTCTTTTTTATGGCTGCATAGTATTCCATGGTGTATATGTACCACATTTTCTTTATCCAGTCCATCATTGATGGGCATTTAGGTTGATCCCATATCTTTGCTATTGTGAACAGTGCTATATTTATCTGTCGATGAACACTTAGGTTGCCTCCAAATCTTAGCTATTGTAAACAGTGCTGCAACAACATGAAAGTGCAGATATGGTCCAATGCACTGATTTTCTCTCTTTTAGGTATATAACCACTGGTGGGATTTCTGGATCATACAGTAGCTCTTTCTTTAGTTTTTTGAGAAACCTCCAAACTGTTCTCCATAGTGGTTGTACTAATTACATTCCCACCCACAGTATACTGGGGTTCCTTTTCTCCACATGTTCGCCAGCATTTGTTATTGCCAGTCTTTTGGATAAAAGCTATTTAAACCGGGGTGAGATAATATATCATTGTAGCTTTGATTTGCATTTCTCTGATCAGTGATGTTGAGCACCTTTTTTCATAAACCAGTTTGCCATTTGTATGTTGGCTTTTGAGAAATGTCTGTTCAGATCTTTTGCCATTTTTAAATTGGATTGTCAGAAATTTTTAAGTTTGAGCTCCCTATATATTCTGGATTAGTCTCTTGTCAGTTGGATAGTTTGTAAATATTTTCTGCCATTCTATGAGTTGTCTTTTCACTTTGTTGATTGTTTTCTTCACTGTGCAGAAGGTTTCTAACTTTTTGTGATCCTGTTTGTCCATTTTTTGCTTTTGCTTATGCTTGTGGAGTATTACTGAAGAAATCTTTTGCAGATCAATGTCCTGGAGAGTTTCCCCCAAATGTTTTCTTTTAGTATTTTCACAGATTGAGGTCTTAGATTTAAGTGTTAAATGAATTTTGATTTGATTTTGGTATATGGCAAGAGATGGGGATCTAGTTTCCTATCTCTCCCTGTGGATGTCCAGTTTTCTCAGCACCACTGGTTGAAGAGACTCTCCTTTACCCAATGTATGTTCTTGGCAACTTTGTTGAAAATGAGTTCACTGTAGATGTATAAATTTGTTTTTGGGTTCTTTGTTCTGTTATATTGGTCTATGTGTCTGCTTTCATGCTAGTACCATGCTGTTTTTGGTTACCTTAGCTTTACTATAATTTGAAGTCAAGTTATGTGATTCCTCCAGTTTTGTTCTTTTTGCTCAGGATAGCTTTGGCTATTCTGGGACTTTTGTGGTGTCATATAAATTTTAGAATTATGTTTTTATTTCTGTGAAGAATGTAATTGGTATTTTGATAGGGTTTGCATTGAATCTCTGCAGACTGCTTTGAGTAGTATGAGCATTTTAACAATATTATTTCTAGTAATCCATGAGCATAGAATAACTTTCCTTTTTCATGTCCTCTTCAATTTCTTGTATTAATGTTTTATAGTTTTTATTGCAGAGATCTTTCACTTCTTTGATTAAGTTTATTCCTAGGTATTTTATTTTATTTGTAGCTAAATGGGATTACTTTCTGTGTTAGACCATTCTTGCATTGCTTTGAATGAATATCTGAGACTGGTTAATTTATAAAGAAAAGAGGCTTAATTAACACCATGCTGTGTAAGCATGGTGCCAGCATTTGCTCAGCTTCTGTGGAGAACTCAGGGAGCTTTTATTCATGGCAGAATGTGAAGCAGGAACAGACACATTACATGGCAAGAGCAGGAGCAACAGAGAGGTGTGGGGAGCCACATAGTTTTAAGCAATTAGATCTCAAAATAACTCACTATCACAAGTATAGCACCAAGCCAAGAGGGATCCATCCCCATGGAGCCCCAGGATGTTGAACCATCCTTGCATCCCTGTGATAAATACCACCTGGTCATGATAAATGATCCTTTTAATGTGTTGTTGAATTCAGTTTGCTAGTATTTTTTTCAAGGATTTTTCTTCAATGTTCATCAGGAATATCAGCCTGGATTTTTCTTTTCTCTTACTTTGTTGTTGTTGTTGTTGTTGTTCTGTCCTTGTCTGGTTTTGGTATCCAGGAAATACTGACTTTGTAGAATGAGTTTGGAAGTATTCCCTCTTCCTCTGTTTTTTGGAATAGTTTGAGTAGGATTGGCATTAGTTCTTTAAATGTTTGATAGAATTTAGCAGTGAGGCCATCAGGTCCCAGAGTTTTCTGTGCTGGGAGATGTTTTGTTAAGGCTTTGATCTCATTACTGTTATTGTGCTATTCAAGTCTTGGATTTCTTCATGGTTCAATCTTGGTAGGTTGTAGGTGTCTATAAATGTATCAATTTCTTCTAGATTTTCCCATTTTTGGCATACAGTTCCTCATAGTAGCCACTAATGGTCCTTTGAATTTATGTGGTATCAGTTGTAATGTCTCCTTTTTCATCTCTGTTTTTATTTATTTGGATCTTCCCTCTCTTTTCCTTAGCCTGACTAAAGGTTTGTCAGTTTTGTTTACCTTTTCAAAAAAAAAAAAGAAAAAAAACCTTTTGCTTCATTTATCTTTTGTATTTTTTGTTTCAATTTATTTCTGCTCTGATCTTCGTTATTTCTTCTACTAATTTTGGGTTTGGCAAGCTCTTGCTTTTTTAGGCCTTTAAGATATATTATTAGCTTATCCATTTAAAGTTTTCCTAATTTTCTGATGTAGGCACTTATTGCTATAAACTTTCCTCTAAGTACTGATTTTTCTATTTCCCATAGGTTTTGATATGTTGTGTTTCTATTTTAATTTGTATCGGAAAATTTTTCGATTTCCTTCTTAATGTCTTCATTGACCCACTGGTCATTCAGGAGCATATTATTTAATTTCCATTTGTTTGTATAGGTTACAAAATTCCTCTTGTTAATGATTTCTAGTTTTATTCCATTGTGGTCAAAGAGGATAGTTGAGATGATTTCAATGTTTTTCAAGTATTTTAAGACTTGTTTTGTGAACTAACATGGTCTATCCTTGAGAATGATCAATGTACTGAGGAGAAGAATGTGTATTTTGCAGCTGTTGAATAAAATGTTCTGTAACTATTAGGCCTACTTGGTCTATAGTGCAGATTTAGTCCATTGTTTCTTGGTTGATTTTCTGCCTGTATGATCTGTCCTATGCTGAAAGTGGGGTGTTGAAGTCTCCAGTTATTGTATGTAGGTCTAATATTATTTGCTTTATATAGCTGGGTACTCCAGTGTTGGTCACATATCTATTTACAATTTTTATATCCTTTTGCTGAACTGACCCCTTTGTCATTACATAATGACTTTGTTTCTTTCTAAAGTTTTTGTCTTGAAATCTATTTTTGTCGGACACAAGTATAGCTATTCCTGGTCTTTTTTGGCTTCCACTGCATGGAATATCTTTTCATTCCTTTATTTTCAGTCTACGTGTGTCTTTATAAGTGAAATATGTTTCTTGTAGGCAGCTGATTGAGTCTTTCCCCTGCACCCATTTAGGCACTCTGTATCTTTTGATTGGATAGTTTAGTCAATTTGAATTCAATGTTATTATTGATTAATAAGGTGATATTTTGTTGTTTTTCAGTTGTTTCATGGTCTTTTTTTCCTTCCTTCCTCTCTTCCTTTTTGTGAATGTGATTTTCCTCTGGTTGTATTTTATACATCTGCGGCCAGATGTATTGAAGCTCCTTGGTATGTTATTTATTTCTTTACTCTTGGTGCTTTTAGGATTCTTCCTTTATCCTTGACCTTTTGGTATATTAAATGTCTGAGGTAGTCTTGTTTGAATTAAATCTGCTTGGTGTTCTCTCACCTTCTGACACTTGAATATTGATTTTTTTTTTTTTTTAGATTTGGAAGGTTCTATGTGATGATGCCTTTCTACCCTAATCTTTTTCTCTACCTTTTCTTTAAGGCCAATAACTCTTAAATTTGCCATTTTGAGGCTATTGTCTAGATATCATAGGTGTGCTTCATTCTTTTTTATTTTTTCTCATGTCTGATCTATGTATTTTCAAGTAGTCTGTCTTCAAAGTCACTAATTCTTCTGCTTAATTCTGATTTTGAGGGCCTCTGCATTCTTCAGTATGTCAATTGAATGTTTCAGATTCAGAATTTCTCATTGATATTTTAAAATTATTTCAATCTCTTTGTTAAATTAATCTGATAGGATTCTGAGTTCCTTCTTTGTGTGATTGTGAATTTCCTTGAGCTTTATTAATAGAACTATTTTGAATTCTCTGTCTCAAGGGTTACATATCTCTGTCATCTTAGAATTGGTCACTGATGCTTTAGTTCATTTGGTGAGATCATGCTTTCTTGGATGGACTTGATGTCTGTGTATGTTCATTGATACATGGAGCTGGAGCTGGGGAAGGAGTAACACAAGCACCCCTGTGGCCACCACCACTGGATCTGCCCTGAATCAGATTTGAAGCTAGCACAACAGTGGGTCACACCTACAGTCCACAGTGACCGCTGCCTGGCTATCTCTAATGTTTATTCAAGACCCAAGGCTCTTCGGTCAGTGGTTGGTGAATCCAACCAGGCTTGTGTCTTTCCTTCAACAATGGCAAGCTCCCCACTGGTTTGGGGCAGGTCCAGAAATACCATCCAGGAGCCAGGGCCTGAAGTCAGGAATCTAGGAATCTACTTGGTGTTCTACTCTGCTGTGGCTAAACTAGCACCCAAACCATAAGACAAAGCTCTTCTCATTCTTCCCTCTGCATTGCTGAAGCCGCAGTTGTCTCTCTCTGTGGCCACCACCACCCCAGGCCTAAGGTGAGTGTTGCTTGGCTACTTCCAATATTCATTCAATGGTGAAGGGCTCTTCAATCAGCTTGTGGTAAATGCTGCTGGGCTTGGGTCTCTCTGTTCAAGGTAGTGTGCCCTCTTCTGGCCCAAGGTGGGTCCAGAAAAGCCATCCAGGGGCCAATGCCTGGAATCAGAGACCCCAGCAGCCTATTTGGTGCTCTTTCCCTGTGGCCAAGCTGGTACCTAAGCTGCAAGACAAAATCTCCTTTACTCTTCCCTCTCCTTTTCTCAAGTGGAAGATTCTCTCCTTGTGGCCATCACAGCTGGGAATGTGCTGAGTCACACCAGCATGGCACTGAATCTCACTGAAGGCCTACAGCAACCCAAGTGCTCTTTAGTCAGCAGGTGAGGAATCCTGCAGACTGGTACTTCCTTTAAAGGCAGCAGGTTCCCTTCTGTCCCAGGGCATGTTTAGAAAATGTCATCTTGGAGCTAGGGCCTGGAATGGAGGCCTCAGGACTCTGCCTACTTCCCTATCCTACTGTGCCTGAGCTGCTACGTATTCAAGTTGCAAAACAAAGTCCTCTCTCTTTACTCTTCCCTGTTTTCCCCTCAAGCAGAGGGAAGGAGTCTTTCCTGGGGCTGGAAGCTGTGCTGTTTGGGGTTGGGGAAGGGTTGATGTAAGCACTCCCTTGGCTGCCCTCACTGGTGTCTTACTAGGTAATGTATATCCCAAGTTCACTAGCTTTGAGCCCAGCATAGAACCAGGACTGGCCCAGGAATTGTAGTCCTTGTGGCCTAGACTGCCTTTCAAGTTTATTTAGAACCCCAGACCACTTTAGCCTGCAGTGGTAGGGACTAAATGGAACTCAGATATCAACCACTGGGATCGACAGTTCTCCTCTGGCTGGGGCTACTCTAAATTCTCCCTCTGTCAGTGCTGGCTCAATACTGCCTTGCATTGCTTTCCGCTGCTCCTGGCAGCAGTGAGTTCCAATGCAAAGTCCCGTAACCATTGTGCCATTGCTCCCTGAAGCATGTAAATTCTCTCCCTGTGCCATGTGGCCACTGCCAGGGGTTGGGGGAGGGGTGGTATAGCCAATTCAAGACTGTCTTTTCTACCTTCTTCATGGCTGTGATGTTAAAACGAGGTACTGTGATTGCTCACCTGATTTTTTGTTCTTATGAAGGTGCTTTCCTTTGTGGATAGTTGTTCAATTTGGTGTTCCTGTGGGGGTGGGGAGGGGGGAGGGGGGCGGGGCAGGGTAATAGCTAAGGGGTTCTATTCTGCCATCTTGCTCTGCCTCCTCCCATTTAAAAAATAATCTATTTTCTCTCTCTTGTTCATACTGCATAAATTCATTTGTCTTCATGTTCACTGATTTTATCTCTTGTCACTCCCATCCTATTCATCAAATTTTTAAATGATGTTGGTACTTCTCAGTTTGTAGTTTCCATTGGTTCTTTTTTATAATTTTATTACTTTCACAAAATTTTTTATTTTTGAGTGCATTTCACAAGATTTTCTGATTACTTTTTAAAGCATTGTTTATGATGTCTTCTTTGACATCCTTGTCAGATAATTCCAACAGGTGAATCATCTCCTGGGTTTTGGTATGAGTAATAATTTTCTTAACTGTATTCTAGACATTTTGGATATTGTGAGATCCTATTTTACCTTCTTGTCTTTAGTAGGCAGTCCTCATGTGGAGGTGTAACACTAGGGCTAATTGGGTATGTATTTTCAACTCTTTACCCATTGATACCATAGAAAAGGAGGGGAGAGACAAAGTGTGAATTACTCCCACCTCCTACCTTCATTGATCATGAATGGGAGCAGAATCTTAGTTATTCTCCCTGGCCCCCAAAGGGGGATGGGGAGGAAAGCGTGATGTTGCCTACTCCCATTAGCGGTGTTAAGTTTATTGTTGCTGGGTGGCAGTGAAATCTCTGTTGATGAAATATCCCACCCCATACTACCCTGGTTGGAGAACTGGAGCACATCCTTGTTCAGCCCAGCAACGTTGGAAGATAAGCTTCCTCCTTGGGCTCACCACCACTACCTGGCAGGGGAATCAGCGTACTGCCTGCTTCTGCTGGACTAAACGATGGACAGGAATGTTAACTTCCCACTTTGCCACCCTGAAACCTGTGGAAGTAGGGGTGAATTTTTTTCATTTTGTTTGACTGAAGTTAGGTAGATACTAAAGGTTTATTATCACTGGACCACCCTTTTGCCAGCCCATTGGCTGGAAGAAAGACTTTACTGGAAGCTTTTTTTTTTTTTAACTGTGCCTGTTGGCTTTCAGGGTTGGAGACTTCTACAGTGTTCTGTCCACAGATACTTGGATGACAATAAGGAAACTGAAAGACTCATTACGTTGTTTCTCAAGTCTCCAGATCTCTGGGCTATCCAACTTTTTCTCCGCCTTTCAGAGTCCTCCTTTCCTTGACGTTACATCATGTCTAGGGTGTTTGAATTGTACCAACTTATTTTTTATAAAGCCACCAAAGCAATTCAATGGAACAATACAGTGAAAATTCAACCATTTTCAACAAATGGGTTTTGAATAACTGAACACATATGAAAACAAAACAGTCTCAACCTCCATGTTTCACCATACACAAATTTTTGTTTGAGAAAAATCACAGAACTAAAAATAAAAGCTAGTATGTATAGCTTATAGAAGAAACCAGGGGAATATCCTTGTGCCTGGGGTTAGGAAACATTACTCAGGCAGAGCTCTGAAAGCAATTACCGGAGAAGAAAAAAAAAAAAGGTAAGCTATGCTTAATCAAAATTTAAACTTCTATTCATCAAAATACAACTTTAAGAATCTTAACAAATACTTATATAGAATATATCTGATAATATTTATATTCAGAACAAACAAATAATTCCTACAACTCAATAGGAAGACAACCCAATTTTAATAATATACAAAGAATTTGCATATTCAATCCTCTCAAATAGTTGTGGGGATAAAAAAGATTTGGATAGATACATGACAAAGGATGATACCATAAGCATATGCAAACATACTTCACTAGTTTTCAGAAAATTTGATATGAAAGCCATGAGACATCATTCCAAGTCCACTAGAATAGCTAAGGTTAAAAAGGCCATCAGTATCAAACTTCAGTAAGACTGGAGAACAACTATGACCCTTATATATTAGTAGTGAGAGAGTAAAATGGTAAAAGAAGTATGGAAAATAGTTTTGACAGTTGGTATAAAGTTAAATATATACCTATTCTATAATCCAATAATTTCATGCTAGGCATTTACTTAAGAAAAAACATATCTAGGTAAATACTTGTATAATAATGTTTACAGCCACTTTGTTCATAGTAGCCGTACAAGTAGAAACCATATAAATATTTATCAATAGTAAAATCAAATTTGTATGTAATCAAACAATGGAATACTTCTCAATTCCAAAGGAATACACAAGGAAACATCTCATAGACATTATGCTAAAGGAAAAGTCAAACATAAAGACGACATCCTGTGTGATTTCATTTATATAAAACCCTAGGACAGGTACAGCTAATCTGTGGTGAAACAAATCAGAAAAGTGGTTGCCTTTGGTGGGGAGAAAATAGGTGGGAAGAGTATGAAAGGATTTTTTGAGGTAATGGAAATGTTATTTATTTTGGTGGGAGTATGAATTATGCAGGTATATGCCATTTTCAAAATTCCTAGATTTGTACACTTAAGGTGTGTACATTTCAATATAGGTTTTGCTTTTAAAAAACTGTAAACAGATATTGAAATTTAAAAAATTAAAATGCTAGGACAACAAGTTGGAAGTTCCTGTTTAAACTCATGGAGGGAAGTTTAGGGGAAAAGAATATGCTGCTAATTTTAGTAATGGAAAAAAAAATCAATCAAATGCCCTCAAAAATTGTCCAGGAAGAAAATGTGAATATATCCAGAAGAGATATATGCTGAGAGAGACAAGTATTTACAAAAGTACTTGAATAAAGATGGTCCTTCTTTCCCAACCTAGGGCACTCAGTTTGGTCATTCTGTTGCCAATGATGATCAAAGTTTGAAGGAGGAAAATTGACTGGACACTGAAGGTGGGTTGGTTCAACAAAAGAAGGAAGAGCCCAGCCCCAGAAGCTATTTCCTCCAGAGCCACTTTCAAATATATTTCATGTGTTCATTTTCATTTGGACGTAGAAAAGTCAAACCTTGCTCACTCTCTATTTATGCCAGAGTTTTCTCTTTATTATATTGTATAACAATAGAAAACAAAAGAATTTTTGCTGAGACCTACAGTTTCTTGATTAGGTGGAATAATTTCCTAGATCAAAGGGCTGTTAAATATTTCACTGGAATAATGAAGAAATTATTGGACTATCCACTTTCTAAAGTAGGGTAGATACTTAGCTATGATACTACCTTATGCTTTGAGATGGGCTAGGTAATTTCCCAAAGAGCATTTTAGTTCTGGGATTCCTCAATGTTTTTAAAGAATCTGTTTCTAATTATCATTTGTTATGATAAACAGCACCTTGACCTCTCCCTTACATATAATTCAGCAGATTTTGTCAGTACTTTAGGACATCAATGCAAAGATTCATTGTCATGATGTCAATTAAGAGTAAATACCACATTATAAAAGCTGTGGTAAATATTTCAAGGATGGTCTACTTCCTTACATTAGTCACTATGGTTATATACATTTCCCTCTAGTTCAAGTCAAAAACTGAGTTTTTAGTACATAATCATAATAACTATGAAATTGTGGTACATGGAACACAGTTTTATCCTCTAAGTAACCTATTGGCAAAATTTGCCCTCTAGATGTGCTACTGGCAAGTTAAAGAGAAGTATGGCCTGTCCCTGAGGTTTTTCTGTTTGTCTTGTTTTGCATTTATTTGTTCTTGCATAGAACTAGATTTCATTAATGGTAATAATACTGCATTAGATGATATTGAAGTTCAGCCTTCCATCATATTCCCATTAACCATGGCAGTTCTAGTTAATTCCATGTTCTCATGAAGTATACTGCTTTTACAAATATAAGCTTAATTTGAACTGTTAGAACATTGCTAACATTATAATACTGCTAATAATTATAATGGAAACTGCTATAATCTATTATAATTGTTACGTTATGGTTAGCATGCTGAACCACAATCACCTGCTAGATCATGAATAATAAAGTATTAGATTGTACGTACAGCTATTATTTTGCCTTTGAGAGAAGCAATTTTGTAATATATGAAGTTTATTTGAATGTGTACGTTAGCGGCAATGTACTGCGCAATGGGCTTTAAATGCCATCATCTCTAGGACCTTCAGGAATATTGTAAATTCTAGAGCATTCTTAAATACAATATTTTATTTTTAATATACAAAAATAAACTTTTTATGATAGAGCATCCTTTCTCAGAGGGATCTAAACTAGAGGAGCTGATTTCATATCAAGACTGTGGTCTGGCCCTAAGCCTGCTTTAGAAAGTGCCCGAGGCTGTGAAAGAAAGATGTGAAAACCAGGCTTCACTAAGTTCTTTTTTTTTTTTTTTTTTTTTTTAATTTTTTTTTTTTTATTATACTCTAAGTTTTAGGGTACATGTGCACATTGTGCAGGTTAGTTACATATGTATACATGTGCCATGCTGGTGCGCTGCACCCACTAACGTGTCATCTAGCATTAGGTATATCTCCCAATGCTATCCCTCCCCCCTCCCCCGACCCCACCACAGTCCCCAGAGTGTGATATTCCCCTTCCTGTGTCCATGTGATCTCATTGTTCAATTCCCACCTATGAGTGAGAATATGCGGTGTTTGGTTTTTTGTTCTTGCGATAGTTTACTGAGAATGATGGTTTCCAATTTCATCCATGTCCCTACAAAGGACATGAACTCATCATTTTTTATGGCTGCATAGTATTCCATGGTGTATATGTGCCACATTTTCTTAATCCAGTCTATCATTGTTGGACATTTGGGTTGGTTCCAAGTCTTTGCTATTGTGAATAGTGCCGCAATAAACATACGTGTGCATGTGTCTTTATAGCAGCATGATTTATAGTCCTTTGGGTATATACCCAGTAATGGGATGGCTGGGTCAAATGGTATTTCTAGTTCTAGATCCCTGAGGAATCGCCACACTGACTTCCACAATGGTTGAACTAGTTTACAGTCCCACCAACAGTGTAAAAGTGTTCCTATTTCTCCACATCCTCTCCAGCACCTGTTGTTTCCTGACTTTTTAATGATTGCCATTCTAACTGGTGTGAGATGATATCTCATAGTGGTTTTGATTTGCATTTCTCTGATGGCCAGTGATGATGAGCATTTCTTCATGTGTTTTTTGGCTGCATAAATGTCTTCTTTTGAGAAGTGTCTGTTCATGTCCTTCGCCCACTTTTTGATGGGGTTGTTTGTTTTTTTCTTGTAAATTTGTTTGAGTTCATTGTAGATTCTGGATATTAGCCCTTTGTCAGATGAGTAGGTTGTGAAAATTTTCTCCCATGTTGTAGGTTGCCTGTTCACTCTGATGGTAGTTTCTTTTGCTGTGCAGAAGCTCTTGAGTTTAATTAGATCCCATTTGTCAATTTTGGCTTTTGTTGCCATTGGTTTTGGTGTTTTGGACATGAAGTCCTTGCCCACGCCTATGTCCTGAATGGTATTGCCTAGGTTTTCTTCTAGGGTTTTTATGGTTTTAGGTCTAACGTTTAAATCTTTAATCCATCTTGAATTGATTTTTGTATAAGGTGTAAGGAAGGGATCCAGTTTCAGCTTTCTACATATGGCTAGCCAGTTTTCCCAGCACCATTTATTAAATAGGGAATCCTTTCCCCATTGCTTGTTTTTCTCAGGTTTGTCAAAGATCAGATAGTTGTAGATATGCGGCATTATTTCTGAGGGCTGTGTTCTGTTCCATTGATCTATATCTCTGTTTTGGTACCAGTACCATGCTGTTTTGGTTACTGTAGCCTTGTAGTATAGTTTGAAGTCAGGTAGTGTGATGCCTCCAGCTTTGTTCTTTTGGCTTAGGATTGACTTGGCGATGCGGGCTCTTTTTTGGTTCCATATGAACTTTCAAGTAGTTTTTTCCAATTCTGTGAAGAAAGTCATTGGTAGCTTGATGGGGATGGCATTGAATCTGTAAATTACCTTGGGCAGTATGGCCATTTTCATGATATTGATTCTTCCTACCCATGAGCATGGAATGTTCTTCCATTTGTTTGTGTCCTCTTTTATTTCCTTGAGCAGTGGTTTGTAGTTCTCCTTGAAGAGGTCCTTCATGTCCCTTGTAAGTTGGATTCCTAGGTATTTTATTCTCTTTGAAGCAATTGTGAATGGGAGTTCACTCATGATTTGGCTCTCTGTCTGTTGTTGGTGTATAAGAATGCTTGTGATTTTTGTACATTGATTTTGTATCCTGAGACTTTGCTGAAGTTGCTTATCAGCTTAAGGAGATTTTGGGCTGAGACGATGGGGTTTTCTAGATAAACAATCATGTCATCTGCAAACAGGGACAATTTGACTTCCTCTTTTCCTAATTGAATACCCTTTATTTCCTTCTCCTGCCTGATTGCCCTGGCCAGAACCTCCAACACTATGTTGAATAGGAGTGGTGAGAGAGGGCATCCCTGTCTTGTGCCAGTTTTCAAAGGGAATGCTTCCAGTTTTTGCCCATTCAGTATGATATTGGCTGTGGGTTTGTCATAGATAGCTCTTATTATTTTGAAATACGTCCCATCAATACCTAATTTATTGAGAGTTTTTAGCATGAAGGGTTGTTGAATTTTGTCAAAGGCTTTTTCTGCATCTATTGAGATAATCATGTGGTTTTTGTCTTTGGCTCTGTTTATATGCTGGATTACATTTATTGATTTGCGTATATTGAACCAGCCTTGCATCCCAGGGATGAAGCCCACTTGATCATGGTGGATAAGCTTTTTGATGTGCTGCTGGATTCGGTTTGCCAGTATTTTATTGAGGATTTTTGCATCAATGTTCATCAAGGATATTGGTCTAAAATTCTCTTTTTTGGTTGTGTCTCTGCCCGGCTTTGGTATCAGAATGATGCTGGCCTCATAAAATGAGTTAGGGAGGATTCCCTCTTTTTCTATTGATTGGAATAGTTTCAGAAGGAATGGTACCAGTTCCTCCTTGTACCTCTGGTAGAATTCGGCTGTGAATCCATCTGGTCCTGGACTCTTTTTGGTTGGTAAACTATTGATTATTGCCACAATTTCAGAGCCTGTTATTGGTCTATTCAGAGATTCAACTTCTTCCTGGTTTAGTCTTGGGAGAGTGTATGTGTCGAGGAATGTATCCATTTCTTCTAGATTTTCTAGTTTATTTGCGTAGAGGTGTTTGTAGTATTCTCTGATGGTAGTTTGTATTTCTGTGGGATCGGTGGTGAAATCCCCTTTATCATTTTTTATTGTGTCTATTTGATTCTTCTCTCTTTTTTTCTTTATTAGTCTTGCTAGCGGTCTATCAATTTTGTTGATCCTTTCAAAAAACCAGCTCCTGGATTCATTGATTTTTTGAAGGGTTTTTTGTGTCTCTATTTCCTTCAGTTCTGCTCTGATTTTAGTTATTTCTTGCCTTCTGCTAGCTTTTGAATGTGTTTGCTCTTGCTTTTCTAGTTCTTTTAATTGTGATCTTAGGGTGTCAATTTTGGATCTTTCCTGCTGTCTCTTGTAGGCATTGAGTGCTATAAATTTCCCTCTACACACTGCTTTGAATGCGTCCCAGAGATTCTGGTATGTGGTGTCTTTGTTCTCGTTGATTTCAAAGAACATCTTTATTTCTGCCTTCATTTTGTTATGTACCCAGTAGTCATTCAGGAGCAGGTTGTTCAGTTTCCATGTAGTTGAGCGGCTTTGAGTGAGATTCTTAATCCTGAGTTCTAGTTTGATTGCACTGTGGTCTGAGAGATAGTTTGTTATAATTTCTGTTCTTTTACATTTGCTGAGGAGAGCTTTACTTCCAACTATGTGGTCAATTTTGGAATAGGTGTGGTGTGGTGCTGAAAAAAATGTATATTCTGTTGATTTGGGGTGGAGAGTTCTGTAGATGTCTATTAGGTCTGCTTGGTGCAGAGCTGAGTTCAATTCCTGGGTATCCTTGTTGACTTTCTGTCTCGTTGATCTGTCTAATGTTGACAGTGGGGTGTTAAAGTCTCCCATTATTAATGTGTGGGAGTCTAAGTCTCTTTGTAGGTCACTCAGGACTTGCTTTATGAATCTGGGTGCTCCTGTATTGGGTGCATAAATATTTAGGATAGTTAGCTCCTCTTGTTGAATTGATCCCTTTACCATTATGTAATGGCCTTCTTTGTCTCTTTTGATCTTTGTTGGTTTAAAGTCTGTTTTATCAGAGACTAGGATTGCAAGCCCTGCCTTTTTTTGTTTTCCATGTGCTTGGTAGATCTTCCTCCATCCTTTTATTTTGAGCCTATGTGTGTCTCTGCACGTGAGATGGGTTTCCTGAATACAGCACACTGATGGGTCTTGACTCTTTATTCAACTTGCCAGTCTGTGTCTTTTAATTGCAGAATTTAGTCCATTTATATTTAAAGTTAATATTGTTATGTGTGAATTTGATCCTGTCATTATGATGTTAGCTGGTGATTTTGCTCATTAGTTGATGCAGTTTCTTCCTAGTCTCGATGGTCTTTACATTTTGGCATGATTTTGCAGCGGCTGGTACCGGTTGTTCCTTTCCATGTTTAGTGCTTCCTTCAGGAGCTCTTTTAGGGCAGGCCTGGTGGTGACAAAATCTCTCAGCATTTGCTTGTCTATAAAGTATTTTATTTCTCCTTCACTTATGAAGCTTAGTTTGGCTGGATATGAAATTCTGGGTTGAAAATTCTTTTCTTTAAGAATGTTGAATATGGGCCCCCACTCTCTTCTGGCTTGTAGGGTTTCTGCCGAGAGATCCGCTGTTAGTCTGATGGGCTTTCCTTTGAGGGTAACCCGACCTTTCTCTCTGGCTGCCCTTAACATTTTTTCCTTCATTTCAACTTTGGTGAATCTGACAATTATGTGTCTTGGAGTTGCTCTTCTCGAGGAGTATCTTTGTGGCGTTCTCTGTATTTCCTGAATCTGAACGTTGGCCTGCCTTGCTAGATTGGGGGAGTTCTCCTGGATAATATCCTGCAGAGTGTTTTCCAACTTGGTTCCATTCTCCACATCACTTTCAGGTACACCAATCAGACGTAGATTTGGTCTTTTCACATAGTCCCATATTTCTTGGAGGCTTTGCTCATTTCTTTTTATTCTTTTCTCTCTAAACTTCCCTTCTCGCTTCATTTCATTCATTTCATCTTCCATTGCTGATACCCTTTCTTCCAGTTGATCGCATCAGCTCCTGAGGCTTCTGCATTCTTCACGTAGTTCTCGAGCCTTGGTTTTCAGCTCCATCAGCTCCTTTAAGCACTTCTCTGTATTGGTTATTCTAGTTATACATTCTTCTAAATTTTTTTCAAAGTTTTCAACTTCTTTGCCTTTGGTTTGAATGTCCTCCCGTAGCTCAGAGTAATTTGATCGTCTGAAGCCTTCTTCTCTCAGCTCGTCAAAATCATTCTCCATCCAGCTTTGTTCTGTTGCTGGTGAGGAACTGCGTTCCTTTGGAGGAGGAGAGGCGCTCTGCATTTTAGAGTTTCCAGTTTTTCTGTTCTGTTTTTTCCCCATCTTTGTGGTTTTATCTACTTTTGGTCTTTGATGATGGTGATGTACAGATGGGTTTTCGGTGTAGATGTCCTTTCTGGTTGTTAGTTTTCCTTCTAACAGACAGGAACCTCAGCTGCAGGTCTGTTGGAATACCCTGCCGTGTGAGGTGTCAGTGTGCCCCTGCTGGGGGGTGCCTCCCAGTTAGGCTGCTCGGGGGTCAGGGGTCAGGGACCCACTTGAGGCAGTCTGCCCGTTCTCAGATCTCCAGCTGCGTGCTGGGAGAACCACTGCTCTCTTCAAAGCTGTCAGACAGGGACACTTAAGTCTGCAGAGGTTACTGCTGTCTTTTTGTTTGTCTGTGCCCTGCCCCCAGAGGTGGAGCCTACAGAGGCAGGCAGGCCTCCTTGAGCTGTGGTGGGCTCCACCCAGTTCGAGCTTCCCGGCTGCTTTGTTTACCTAAGCAAGCCTGGGCAATGGCGGGCGCCCCTCCCCCAGCCTCGCTGCCGCCTTGCAGTTTGATTGCAGCGAGATTCCGTGGGCGTAGGACCCTCTGAGCCAGGTGTGGGATATAGTCTCGTGGTGCGCCGTTTCTTAAGCCGGTCTGAAAAGCGCAATATTCGGGTGGGAGTGACCCGATTTTCCAGGTGCGTCCGTCACCCCTTTCTTTGACTCGGAAAGGGAACTCCCTGACCCCTTGCGCTTCCCAGGTGAGGCAGTGCCTCGCCCTGCTTCGGCTCGCGCACGGTGCGCACACACACTGGCCTGCGCCCACTGTCTGGCACTCCCTAGTGAGATGAACCCGGTACCTCAGATGGAAATGCAGAAGTCACCCGTCTTCTGCGTCGCTCACGCTGGGAGCTGTAGACCGGAGCTGTTCCTATTCGGCCATCTTGGCTCCTCCCTATCCTTCACTAAGTTCTAAAACTGACATTTCCTTCACCTGCCAGGAGCATCAACTTCTCCCTCTGGTGACTTTGGTTTTCATCACGAATAAAGGCAGTGGTTTTTCTTGTCAGTAATGGAAGAATACTGTTTATAGGAGTTCTTCCTCTTAGATATTTTGTTTTGAATGCTAGAAAATGAGTTGTCTATTCCAGGTTTCAGGCATAAAAGTAGCTGCTAGAGGAAATTACCAGCATAAAGTTTTGTTTCCTGTGTAGCAAATTCATATTCCTATCCATTTATATTTAAACTTGTGATACAATGGTCAACTGGTAATTGTTTAAATGATTGCAAGCAACTAGACTTTTTTAGTTATAATGCACTTAAATATACAATAACTATGGCAATGACACAAGCTAAGTACAGTAGAAATAAGATTAACTTTATTTACAATCACTTCAAAGCTCCACGTAGAATTAGAATGATGGATTATAAACCCTCTATTTACTTTATCAGCTTTCTTTGACATTGTAGAACAGATTTCTGAGCTCTTAAAGGGCAGGCCCACCTAATGGGAGTGGTTCACTACCAAAGAGGACCTCAGGGAAAAAAGAAAAAAAGCTTCCTCAGAGCTTATGTTCCACCATTGCTCCCCTGAAGAAGCCTAGAAAATAACCCAAACTTCCTTTTTTGGGGCAAAAAGAAGGCATCCTGTCTGTAAAAATAGTATATGGTCTTAACATGACTTCCCAATCGAGTCAACAAACGCTCCTCAAATGCTGCTCTTCTATGTTATGCACAATGCCAAAACCTGACCCCAAATTTAAATAAGCCTCAACTGTTGGCCTCAAAGATTTCAGTCAATTAAGGGAGGTGAAACCTTTAGAACTAAATATAAAACAAAAGTGGTGACCGTGTTTGAAAAAGCAAAAACGTGTATTTATGGCATCCCAAATTACCTCATCAGTTCTCATTTATTTAAAGGCTTTTTCCTTCTTCATATGGTTTTTATGTTAACTGGAGAGTTTATAAGCTGTGCTAGAGAAAAAAATTTAAGACATAGTTACACAAAACTAGCAACATCTCATTTGCCAATAACCCAGCTAATTTTAGTTCCTGATAAATTATGCAAAAGAAAATTGATAGAAAGTAGTATGAAGCAAAGATGTGAATAATGCAAAGTAGCTCAAGGAGATGAAAGTGGAACAGGTTATTCATACTTCAAATGGGAATGCTAGCAATGATGGCTTTGGGCTCTTGCCATTTCCTTTAGAGCTAGAGATTACAAGATGATTTAAAAAAGTACCAGAAGTATAAATTACTTGTATACAGATTTCTCCTTTTTATCCTGTATTGGATAAAAGAAAAACTAAGCCAACTGAAAGTGGATGTTTTAGAATCTCAGACTCTCTTTTATCTTTTATCTGGTCTTGTCATGGTTGGCTGTTCCTAGCCACATTCTTTGAAACTGTTGATTGGGGCAGCTTCTCTAGACCCTTCTTCTGAAGTCTGATATGACCTTAATTTTTTATTTTTTAATAAATTATCACGAGCCATCCTAAACTAAGCATAAGAATGGAATGCTACATAAATTAAGTTCTAGAACTCTTAATGAACACCCAGGGGAATGCCATTTGGAATAATTAATCAAAAGTAGAATTTCCTATAATCCATTTTATAGATGAATTACGAAGAGGACTTACGCAGGTTTTGTTTCAACTGTGACTTGAAACAGACATTTGTTCCCTTGGATGATTCAGGGTTGCTGTTCAAGTCAGAAATTTTAAAAGTATAAATATTCTGACAAACTTTAAGATAAAAGTCATTGAATCTTACAAGACATTTTGTCCATAATGCACAACATATCTTGTCCATTATGTTACAAAATACATTATCCATAATACATAGATAACTGACTCCAAATTCAACATTGTTTTGCATATGTCAACAATACAGCAAGTGTTATCTTTTCATTTATGAAAAATAGGCTATTAAAAAGTAATTACAAGAAAAACCTAATAGATCTGTTCCTATATTGGGTTATCTAGTGTCCTCTCAAAATTCATGTTCACTGGAACATCAGAATGTGAACTTATTAGGAAATAGGGTTTTTGTAGATGTAATTAGTTAGCATGAGGTCATACTGACTTAGGGTGGGCCCTTAATCCAATGACTGGTATCCTTATAATAGAAGAGGACAGAGGAAAATGTCATGTGGAGACATAGACAGAGACTAGAGCACCCACCAGAAACTAGAGAAGATGCCTCCATCAGATTCTCCCTCAGGGCCTCTAGAAGGAACCAACCCTGCTGATACCTTGATTTTGAACTAGCCTCCAAAAAGGTAAAATAATAAAATTAGTTTGTTCTAAGCCACCCAGTTTTTTCATAATAATTGTTATGTCAGCCATAGAAAACTAGTAAGGTTCCCAATTATTTTTATTAACCCAAATTCCCCAAACCTCATTAATATCTGGGTAGGTAAATGGTCACACAATAACTCAAATTTAATTGGATCTTGCTCATACTTTCTGATGCAAGATACCCAGGCCCTTTGAAAATATTTTAAATGTTTCAAATATTTCAAAGTATTTCAATATTTGAGGCCCTTCTCAAAATTAAGTGTTTTGGGGTATCCCCAGGGAGAATTTCCAGGTATTCACCAATAAGTCTGTTTCTAGTAGACTTGCCATGACTCTTGTGGGTGTCACCTTCTACTTGTTACTGTCACTGGAAAGCTGAAGAATACATGATGCTACATTTTCAAGGGTATCTGTGATAAAAAGAGATGTCAGCATTTCAAGCCCTTCTGTGTCTCAGTGGAGATATAGGGGTCCTAAACCATTATGGAATTTATTGAAACAGCCTTTTCAATGTTTAATTATGTCCTTCTCTCTCCCTGCAAAGTAGGCAAAATGCTATAAAGGAAACAGGGAAAATTCAAATACTATCCATCACACTGAACCTATCACTGCCCTCTCCGGCAATTAAAAAATCGAATCTGGGTCAGCTTATCTTTCTCTCTTGGGATGAGTTTCCTTAAGTTTTCAATCTCCTTGCAAATGGACCTTGGTCAGTCCACCTGCCCGTTCAGCCATGTGTGAATTCTAGCAGTGAATGAGATGAAATCCTCACCACATGTTTGGGTGACTTTAGGGTAAATTTAACTTTTTCTTTCCTCAGAAGAAAGGGCGTGTGTTTATTTGTTTTTAGAATACTGTGTTATTTTCTGTATTTTCTCCTAAATCTCCTGAGATTCTCTAGAGGATCTGATATAATCCTCCAGTTTTCCATACTTGTCCTTGTTTGTTCAGGGAGGGGAGAAAAGCTGATCAAAGAGGAAAAATATAGGCCTGTTCTGGGGCTTTGGGTGGGGAGTAGCAGCCACTATTCTAAAAGCAAATATTGCCCCAGCTCCAAGCTCAGGTGCTGAGCATCCCTCATTCACATCAGCTGCTCCACTGCTAGTCCACCAGTAAACCTGAACACTGTGATGACTAACCAGAAAAATATCTCCTGCATAATAGTCTTCCTGAGTTGTTTGCTTATTATGTAGCACTAGACATGGTGGAAAAATACTAAAACGATCACATTTTGGTACTGATCAAGTACTGTAAGGTTTTAACAACTCAATGTTAGTATTATAGCAGTAGGGAAGAGTGGCCTATGTGTGGTCACAGTGCGTACATAGGGTAGAGGACTAAAAGCTTCAGTGTACACTGGAGGAAGCGCCAAGGCTTGGACTCTGCTTTTACATTCCCTACAAGATTTGGCTCTGATTCTTTGTCTACTTTAAACCTCAGGCTCGGTGTAATAACTGCCATCATGTGCATTTGTTGTAGACCTAGGTCTCTCCAGGGTTTGAGTCTAATTTTTTTCCTATTGAGCCTACATAGTTCTTCTAGAAGTTCGTGGTACAGGGGCTCTCCTTGTCCATACATGAAGATGAAGCCTGCTTGGAAGATTTTGAGATGTGCGCTTTACTTCTGCCATTATCCCCATCTCTTCATCTGCTCTCACCCTCCTGTGTTTACCTTATTTCTGTAAACCTGAATTTTCACTTTCTCTCTAGCCCCTTGGAATCATGTAGAAGAACTACTTGACTCTGTTTTCCTTTTCCTCCAGGACATGTCGTGTTGTGTAGTTCCTCCAGGCTCCACATAGTGCAAATAGGCAGCAATGTCATGCACAACATTTAGGCTTGGCCATGGTTCCTAAGGCCCAGGTCCCCGATAATTAGGAGATGGAGAAAATTTAGGAAAAATGTTAAATCAGAAATGAGCAAAATAAGAAATCTGGAGAAATGAGAATATTTTATAATGCACTGTTTCCTCATGACTTAGATTTGTTCTCTATTGTCTTGCTAATTAGGTAGACAAATCCTAAATGTAGGAGATCAAAGGGAGTAAGGCATATTTAATAGCATCTTATTCCCTGGCCACACACTGGTTTTCCATATGGTCAGGAATCCAATAGCTCAATACAGGATATAATTAATTTCTCTGAAGCAAAGCAAATGATAACATTTAGATAATTACTCATCACAACTATTTTTGTAATTTACTTTCTAAGAACTGCCTGAAGAGAGCAGTTTATTGAACTAATGGAATAAACAATGAAAGGCAGTGAGGGTCAAAGCAAGGATTAATATTCTACTGAAATATGCCTGGCGCATAAACCAGAATACAAGACTCTTTCTTCCTACTTGTTGAGCAAGGGTGGTTGACTTTGTCATACCACTATAGAAGTTATCCCACCCCAACTGAATTCAATTTTTTTTATTTCTTGTGGTCTGCCTGCTAGGCTCTGCTTCTGTGGCCAATACTGTACGTCAGTCCATTGTTGGACATTAACCTTGGCAAATGGAATGAGAAAAGACTTAGGAGAATTGGATTCTACTATATATCTCTCTGTGGTGGCTCTGTACTAGGCCAACTTATCTAAGCTTAAGTATGTTCTCTAGATCACACTTTCTTGCATAAATCTGGTTTTGTATAGGCCATGGAAAATATTTTGTACAATATTTGAAAGACAGAAATGAAGCAACTCTGAAGGCTTGTGCAGGGCACCAATCTAGCTCATGCGCTAGTGTATATGCAACTACATGTCAAAGCCACTGACTCCTGAAGATCCATATTATTGAGGCTGAATATGTTCAGAGACAGATACAAGTTCCAGTTTGTCCTTATAGGTTTCAGTTGACCTATGTGTCTTCGTCCATCTTTGTAGGTTCAAGATGGTCCTTGCTCTTATCCATATCCAGTTTTCCTTCCTGACTGCCAGTCTGGCTGACCAGTCAGAATCAAAGTAGACAACAGAAACAACAGCTTGTGTAGATGCTTCAGTAGCTCCCAAAATCACATACAGTTGAAACTATACTAAACTGCACAGTCTATATAATTTGTAGCAGTTCTGCTTCTACGACATAACCTTGATTTGTATATTACCTAGTTAGATAAATGTAGATATGCCTTAATTTCTAGGGTAAGGGTATACAATTGCTTTTAATTCTTCTCAATTCCTTTGTGAGGATCAATAAACAAATTTCATATTGAAACTTGTTAAGGATTGGAAACACAGATAAAAATTTGTGCGTGTGAACAGACACATGTATACACATTTTTATATACAAATTGGCACAGTTAGGGAGCTTGGCTTTATCTAGGAATAAATATAATTACCACTTTAATTGAAGCTCTTGAAGGCTCAAGTATACTATAAGCCTTCTAAACAAGTGCCCTGAGCAATTTCCTTGACATAAGTAAATAGTATTGTAGATTATTAAGAAAGATAATGGAAAACTATGGCGATATTTAGAAATACAAAAGATTACCCAACTGAGAGAAGGCTATTTTTTTTGAAGTCAAATTTTGCTCTGAGTTCTTCTTTCAGGACTTCCTGAAAGACAATCAAGGTCCAAAGCTTGTCTCATCTCTCATCTATCCTGAATGGAGGAAATAACATCTTTGCACTTGCTTAAAAAACATGATGGGTACATATAGAACGTGTCTTTCACATGGGATGTGATTTATACTGAGTAATGCTTGCTGAAGAAATGAATAATGACTCAGTCAGATCATGGGCTGAACATATTGATCTTACCTGCCTTCTGATAAGTTTTCTTCTCCATTCCCAGACAGAAACGTTACCATTTTTCTTTTCTTTCTTTTTTCTTAAAAATTTGTTTTAGTGTACCTTGGGTGTAACCCAAGTGTACCTGGTCTAGTGTACCTGGTGTTTGGGCAGAGACTATAGACAAATGAATAAACTGGTGCTGTGATTAACAAAATGGACAGAAGGCTAAGAGAAGCTGGTAATAATGTATTTTTATGTAATTACAACTATTAAGATTGATCAGTGTCTTCTGTTTGATAATACTGAGATCAGAGGCCAAACTACACAACATTGTAGACCATATGAGCTGAAGAATTTGAGTATGAGCCAAGAGTATTTTAGACTCAGATAACTTGTAAGAGATAAAGTTTACTCAAAATGCCAGTTCCTCTGATTCTAACTACTTAGAGAGTGGGAGAGAAAGTCAGGGTCATAGAAGACTTTAGTTATCCTTTAAATTAAATGCATAGGCAGATCTGCTTCTGATCAACTGCATTAGGTTATTAACCAGGAAAAGAAATGTGTGCTAATAAAAAGTCAAGGCAAGAATCTTCATTTTAAATGCATACTCTATAATGTGTATACATTTTTATATATATGTGTGTGTGTGTATATATATACACACATATATACCTATATGTACACACACTTACACATATATGTACACACACATATATACATATATATGTATAATATAACCTGAAACTCTGGTCAGCTTTTTAAATAAGACTGATTAGGAAAAAAAAACCCAAAATTTTGTCTTGATGACCTAGTGTGGTTGTAAATGTTTGTATTTGCATGTTGATGTTGTGTATTTCCTTAAGCAGAAGTCAGACCAAGATCATGGAAAATTTCACAGTCCTCAAGATTGTACTTACAGCCTGTTAATATTAAGTAGCCACAATTTCCCCCTCTAAACCATGATAATGAACACGTGACTCCATTGAGATGTTTGAGCTGAGTGATATAATGAAATGTCTTCAATTTCAGGTCCTTTATGTGGGGGCAAAGAAGTCACTTGTGCAGTGGGAAAACTCTTCAGACCAGAAGGTCAATGTTGTTCACTCAAAGGTCATATCATTTAATATAACTGATATTAAATAGCTTGCATTTTAACAGGCAATGGTCAGAAACAGGGACTAACTGAGCAGAACAGACAAAATGTAGATGAGAGGAAAGAGGTTTGGCCAGCCCCTAGAAGTTGCAACTTGCTCCTGTTCCAGCTCCAACCATTGTCTGACAGCAGCTTCATGAGAGACCATGAGTCAGAGCTACCCAGTTTAGTCTCTTTGAAATTTCTTATCCCTGAAATTGAGACAGTAACGTGATTGTTGATGTTTTAAAACCACTAAGTCTAGGGGTGATTTGTTACACAGCATTAAACAACCAGAATGGTCATAAATCAAATAATGGTAATGAAGAAATCAAATAATTTTATTTGTTGCTCACTAAAATGCAAAAGTAATAACAGCATATTTAATTAAGAAAATATCGATTTTATTATACCTATCTTAAATTAGACATGGTAATTATCTAATTTTTTATTTTTCACAAATTGCCAGCTAGAAATATTGTGGGCTTTCCCTTCTCTGTTTTAATCTAAAAGTTATAAATTTTATTGGCACCTTGGTAGAAATGTGCAAACCATGGTAGATATGCACATATGTATTTTTTTAAAGTAGATTTTATTTTTTTGAGTAGCTTTTGGTTCACAGAAAAATTAAAAGGTACAGAGATTTCCCATGTACTCCCTGGCCACCCCTCTCTCCCAGTGTTATAACTTCTTTTATCATCATCATACTATTCCCTCCCCCCAGCATAGTGGTGCATTCATTACAATCAATGGACCTACATTGACACATCATTATCACCCAAAGTCCCTAGTTTACACGAGGGTTCACTCTTGGTGTTACACATTCTGTGGGTTTGGACAAATGTGTAATGTTATGTATCCACCATTACAGTATCATACAGAGTAGTTTCACTGTCCTAAAAGTTCTCTATGTTCTGCCTATTCATCCCTTCTTATTCTCTAACCCCTGGCACCACTGATTTTTCTACTGTCTCCATGGTTTTGCCTTTTCCAGAATGTCATATGGTTGGAATAATAAAGCATGTTGCCTTTTCAGATGGCTTTTACTTAGTAAGATACATTTAATATTCCTCCATGTCTTTCTATGGTTTGATAGTTCATTTTTTTAGCAATAAATAATATTCCAGTGTTTGGATGTATCACAGCTTATTCATTCACCTACTGAAAGACTTCTTGGTTGTTTCCAAGTTTTGGCAATTATGAATAAAGCTGCTGATAGCTTATAGCTTTCTTTGTGATTAGTTGACCAAAATTTTCAACTTTTTTGGGTAAATAAATACCAAGGAACACAATGGCTGAATCATGTAATAAGATGTTTAGTTATGTTTAGTTTTGTAGGAACTCTCAAACTGTCTTTCATTGCAGCTGTACTATTTTGTATTCCCACCAGTGGTGGATGAGAGTTCCTGTTGTTCTACAATGTCAACAGAATTTGGTATTTTCAATGTTCTGGATTTCGGCCATTTTTTAATAACTTTTAAGTTCAGGAGTACATAGGTAGGTTTGTTACTTAGGTAAACTTGCGTCATGGGGGTTTGTTGTACAGATTACTTAATCACCCAGCTATTAAGCCTAGTACCCATTAGTTATGTTTTCTGATCTTCTCCCTCCTTCCACCCTCCATCCTCTGATAAGCCCAAGTGTGTGTGGTTCTTCTCTATGTGTCCATGTGTTCTCATCATTTAGCTCCCACTAATAAGCGAAAACACGTGGTATTTGGTTTTCTGTTTCTGCATTAGTTTACTATAGATAATAGCCTCCAGCTCCATCCATGTCCCTGCAAAGGACATGATCTCATTCTTTTTTATGGCTGCATAATATTCTATTGTGTATATGCACCACATTTTCTTTATCCAGTCTATCATGGATGGGCATACAGGTTGATTCCTCATCTTTGCTGTTGTGAATAGTACTACAATGAACATCCAAGTGCATGTGTCTTTATGATAGAATGATTTATATTCTTCTGGGTATATATCCAGTAATGAGATTGCTCAGTTGAATGATATTTTTGTCTTTAGATCTCGGAGGAATTGCCACACTGCCTTCCATGACAGTTGAACTAATTTACACTCCCACCAACAGTGTATAAGCGCCCCTTTTTCTCAACAACCTCGCCTGCATACATTATGTTTTTGGATTTTTTAAATTATTATTATACTTTAAGTTCTAGAGTACATGTTCACAACGTGCAGATTTGCTACATATGTATACATGTGCCATGTTGGTGTGCCGCACCCATTAAATCATCATTTACGTTAGGTATATCTCCTAATGCTATCCCTCCCCATCCCCCCACCCCACAACAGGCCCCGGTGTGTGATGTTCCCCTTCCTGTGTCCAAGGGTTCTCATTGTTCAATTCCCACCTATGAATGAGAACATGCGGTGTTTGGTTTTTTGTCCTTGTGACAGTTTGCTGAGAATGATGGTTTCCAGCTTCATCTATGTCCCTACAAAGGTCATGAACTCATCATTTTTTATGGCTGCATAGTATTCCATGGTGTATATGTGCCACATTTTCTTAATCCAGTCTACCATCCATGGACATTTGGGTTGGTTCCAAGTCTTTGCTGTTGTGAATAGTGCCGCAATAAACATGCTGTTTATGTGCATGTGTCTTTATAGCAGCATGATTTATAATCCTTTGGGTATATACCCAGTAATGGGATGGCTGGGTCAAATGGTATTTCTAGTTCTAGATCCTTGAGGAATCGCCACGCTGTCTTCCACAATGGATGAACTAGTTTACAGTCCCACCAACAGTGTAAAAGTGTTCCTATTTCTCCACATCCTCTCCAGCACCTGTTGTTTCCTGACTTTTTAATGATTGCCACTCTAACTGGCGTGAGATGGTATCTCACTGTGGTTTTGATATGCATTTCTCTGATGGCCAGTGATGGTGAGCATTTTTTATGTGTCTGTTGGCTGCATAAATGTCTTCTTTTGAGAAGCGTCTGTTCATATCCTTTGCCTACTTGTTGATGGGGTTGTTTTTTTCTTGTACATTTGTTTGAGTTCTTTGTAGATTCTGGATATTAGCCCTTTGTCAGATGAGTAGATTGCAAAAATTTTCTCCCATTCTGTAGGTTGCCTTTCACTCTGATGGTAGTTTCTTTTGCTGTGCAGAAGCTCTTTAGTTTAATTAGATCCCATTTGTCAATTTTGGCTTCTGTTGCCATTGCTTTTGGTGTTTCAGACATGAAGTCCTTGCCCATGCCTATGTCCTGAATGGTATTGCCTAGGTTTTCGTCTAGGGTTTTTATGATTTTAGGTCTAACATTTAAGTTTTGAATCCATCTTGAATTGATTTTTGTATAAGGTGTAAGGAAGGGATCCAGTTTCAGCTTTCTACATATGGCTAGCCAGTTTTTCCAGCACCATTTGTTAAATAGAGAATCCGTTCCCCATTTCTTGTTTTTGTCAGGTTTGTCAAAGATCAGATGGTTGTAGATGTGTAGTATTATTTCTGAGGGCTCTGTTCTGTTCCGTTGGTCTATATCTCTGTTTCGGTACCAGTACCGTGCTGTTTTGGTTACTGTAGGCTTGTAGTAGAGTTTGAAGTCAGGTAGCGTGATGCCTCCAGCTTTGTTCTTTTGGCTTAGGATTGACTTGGCAATGCGGGCTCTTTTTTGGTTCCATATGAACTTTCAAGTAGTTTTTTCCAATTCTGTGAAGAAAGTCATTGGTAGCTTGATGGGGATGGCATTGAATCTATAAATTACCTTGGGCAGTATGGCCATTTTCATGATATTGATTCTTCCTATTCATGGGCATGGAATGTGCTTCCATTTGTTTGTGTCCTCTTTTATTTTGTTGAGCAGTGGTTTGTAGTTCTCCTCGAAGAGGTCCTTCACTACCCTTGTATGTTGGATTCCTAGGTATTTTATTCTGTTTGAAGCCATTGTGAATGGGAGTTCACTCATGATTTGACTCTCTGTTTGTCTGTTATTGGTGCATAAGAATGCTTGTGATTTTTGCACATTGATTTTGTATCCTGAGACTTCGCTGAATTTGCTTATCGGCTTAAGGAGATTTTGGGCTGAGATGATGGGGTTTTCTAGATATACAATCATGTCTCTGCAAACAGGGGCAATTTGAATTCCTCTTCTCCTAATTGAATACCCTTTATTTCTTTCTCCTGCCTGATTGCGCTGGCCAGAGCTTCTAACACTATGTTGAATAGGAGTGGTGGTGAAAGAGGGCATTCCTGTCTTGTGCCAGTTTTCAAAGGGAATGCTTCCAGTTTTTGCCCATTCAGTATGATATTGGCTGTGGGTTTGTCATGAATAACTCTTATGATTTTGAGATATGTCCCATCTATACCTAATTTATTGAGAGTTTTTAGCATGAAGGGCTGTTGAATTTTTTCAAAGGCCTTTTCTGCAGCTATTGAGATAATCATGTGGTTTTTGTCTTTGGGTCTGTTTATATGCTGGATTATGTTTATTGATTTGTGTATATTGAACCAGCCTTGCATCCCAGGGATGAAGCCCACTTGATCATGGTGGATAAGCTTTTTGATGTGCTGCTGGATTCAGTTTGCCAGTATTTTATTGAGGATTTTTGCATTGATGTTCATCAAGGATATTGGTCTAAAATTCTCTTTTTTTGTTGTGTCTCTGCCAGGCTTTGGCATCAGGATGATGCTGGCCTCATAAAATGAGTTAGGGAGGATTCCCTCTCTTTCTATTGATTGGAATAGTTTCAGAAGGAATGGTACCAGCTCCTCCTTGGACCTCTGGTAGCATTCGGCTGTGAATCTCTCTGGTCCTGGACTTTTTTTGGTTGGTAGGCTATTAATTATTGTCTCAGTTTCAGAGCCTGTTATTGGTCTATTCAGGGATTCAACTTCTTCCTGATTTAGTCTTGGGAGGGTGTATGTGTCCAGGAATTTATCCATTTCTTCTGGATTTTCTAGTTTGAGTAGACATGTTTATAGTATTCTCTGATGGTAGTTTGTATTTCTGTGGGATTGCTGGTGTTATCCCCTTTATCATTTCTTATTGTGTCCATTGGATTCTTCTCTCTTTTCTTATTAGTCTTGCTAGCAGTCTATCAATTTTGTTGATCTTTTCTAAAACACAGCTCTTTGGATTCATTGATTTTTTGAAGGGTTTTTTGTGTCTCTATTTCCTTCAGTTCTGCTCTGATCTTAGTTATTTCTTGCCTTCTGCTAGCTTTTGAATGTGTTTGCTCTTGCTTCTCTAGTTCTTTTAATTGTGATGTTAGGGTGTCCATTTTAGATCTTTCCTGCTTTCTCTTGTGGTCATTTAGTGCTATAAATTTCCCTCTATGCACTGCTTTAAATGTGTCCCAGAGATTCTGGTATGTTGTGTCTTTGTTCTCATTGATTTCAAAGAACATCTTTATTTCTGCCTTCATTTCGTTATGTAACCAGTAGTCATTCAGGAGCAGGTTGTTCAGTTTCCATGTAGTTGAGTGGTTTTGAGTGAATTTCTTAATCCTGAGTTCTAGTTTGATTGCACTGTGGTCTGAGAGATAGTTTGTTATAATTTCTGTTCTTTTACATTTCCTGAGGAGTGCCTTACTTCCAACTCTGTGGTCAATTTTTGAATAAGTGTGTTGTGGTGCTCAGAAGAATGTATATTCTGTTGATTCGGGGTGGAGAGTTCTGTAGATGTCTATTAGGTCTGCTTGGTGCAGAGCTGAGTTCAATTCCTGGATATCCTTGTTAACTTTCTGTCTTGTTGATCTGTCTAATGTTGACAGTGGGGTGTTAAAGCCTCCCATTATTATTGTGTGGGAGTCTAAGTCTCTTTGTAGGTCTCTAAGGACTTGCTTTATGAATCTGGGTGCTCCTGTATTGGGTGCATATATATTTAGGATAGTAAGTTCTTCTTGTTGAATTGATCTCTTTACCATTATGTAATGGCCTTCTTTGTCTCTTTTGATCTTTGTTTAAAGTCTGTTTTATCAGAGACTAGGATTGCAACCTCTGCCTTTTTTGGTTTTCCATTTGCTTGGTAGATCTTCCTCCATCCCTTTATTTTGAGCCTATGTGTGTCTCTGCACGTGAGATGGGTTTGCTGAATACAGCACACTGATGGGTCTTGACTCTATCCAATTTGCCAGTCTGTGTCTTTTAATTGGAGCATTTAGCCCATTTACATTTAAGGTTAGTATTGTTATGTGTGAATTTGATACTGTCATTATGATGTTAGCTGGTTTGATCTTCCATCACTGATAACCTTTCTTCCAGTTGATCGAATCGGCTACTGAAGCTTGTGCATTCATCACATAGTTCTCGTGCTGTGGTTTTCAGCTCCATGAGTTCCTTTAAGGACTTCTCTGCATTGGTTATTCTAGTTAGCCATTCGTCTAATCTTTTTTCACGGTTTTTAACTTCTTTGCCATGGGTTTGAATTTCCTCCTTTAGCTCAGAGAAGCCTTCTTTTCTCAACTCATCAAAGTCATTCTCTGTCCAGCTTTGTTCCATTGCTGGTGAGGAGCTGCATTCCTTTGGAGGAGGAGAGGCACTCTGATTTTAAGAATTTTCAGTTTTTCTGCTCTGTTTTTTCCCCATCTTTGTGGTTTTATCTACCTTTGGTCTTTGGTGATGGTGATGTACAGATGGGGTTTTGGTGTGGATGTCCTTCCTGTTTGTTAGTTTTCCTTCTCACTGTCAGGACCCTCAGCTGCAGGTCTGTTGGCATTTGCTGGAGGTCCAATCCAGACCCTGTTTGCCCGGATTTCAGCAGTGGAGGCTGCAGAACAGCGGATATTGCTGAACAGCATATGTCACTGCCTGATCATTCCTCTGGAAGTTTTGTCTCAGAGGGGTACCCGGCCGTGTGAAGTGTCAGTCTGCCCCTACTGTGGGGTTCCTCCCAGACAGGCTACTCGGGGGTCAGGGACCCACTTAAGAAGGCAGTCAGTCCGTTCTCAGATCTCAAACTCCGTGCTGGGAGAACCACTACTCTCTTCAAAGCTGTCAGACAGGGACATTTAAGTCTGCAGAGGTTTCTGCTGCCTTTTGTTTGGCTATGCCCTGCCCCCAGAGGTGGAGTCTATAGAGGCCAGCAGGCCTCCTTGAGCTGCGGTGGGCTCCATCCAGTTGGAGCTTCCCAGCTGCTTTGTTTACCTACTCAAGCCTCATCAATGGTGGGCACCCCTCCCCAAGCCTCGCTGCCGCCTTGCAGTTCGATCTCAGACTACTGTGCTAGCAATGAGTGAGGCTCCGTGGGCGTGGGACCCTCTGAGCCAGGCACTGGATATAATCTCCTGGTGTGCCATTTGCTAAGACCATTGGAAAAGCGCAGTATTAGGGTGGGAGTGACCCAATTTTCCAGATTCCGTCTGTCACAGCTTCGCTTGGTTAGGAAAGGGAATTCCCTGACCCTTTGGGCTTCCCAGGTGAGGCAATGCCTCACCCTGCTTCGGCTCATGCTCGATGCACTGCACCCACTGTCCTGCACCCACTGTCTGACAAGCCCCAGTGAGATGAACCCGGTACCTCAGTTGGAAATGCAGAAATCACCCATCTTCTGTGTCGCTCACACTGGGAGCTGTAGACTGGAGCTGTTCCTATTCAGCCATCTTGGAACTGCCCCTGGATTTTTTTTAGTAGCAATTCTGACTGGTGTGAGATAGTATCTCATTGTGGTTTTGATTTGCATTTCTCTAATGTTGAGATGTTGAGCTTTTTTACATGTGATTGTTGGCCGCATGTATGTCATCTTCTGAAAAGTGTCTGTTCATGTCTTTTGCCCACTTTTAAATGGGGTTGTTGGTTTTTTCTTGTAAATTAGTTTCAGTTCTTTATAGAAGCTGGATATTAGACCTTTGTCAGATGCATAGTTTGCAAAAATTTTCTCACATTTTGTAGGTTGTCTGTTGATACTTTCTCTTGCTGTGTAGAAGCTCTTAAGTTTAATTAGGTTGCATTTATCAATTTTTGGTTTTGTTGCAATTGCTTTTGGCGTCTTCTTCATGAAATCTTTGCCCATGCCTTTGTCCTGAATGGTGTTCCTAAGTTGTCTTCCAGGGTTTTTATAGCTTCGGGTTTTACAGTTAAGTCCGTTTATCTTGAGTTGATTTTTGTACTTGGTGTAAGGAAGGAGTCCAATGCCAATCTTCTGCATATGGCTAACCAGTTATCTCAGCACCATTAATTCAGTAGGGAATCCTTTCCCCATTGCTTGTTTTTGCCAGGTTTTTGCAGGTCACATAGTTGTTAGGTGTGTGGCCATATTTCTTGGTTCTCTATTCTGTTCCATTGGTCTGTGTGTCTGTTATTGTACCATACTATTTTGGTTATTGTAGCTCTGTAGTATAGCTTGAAGTTGGGTAGTGTGACGCCTCCAGGTTTTTTCTTTTTGCTTAGGATTGCCTTGGCTATTCACATTCATTTTTGGTTCCTATGAATTTTCAAATAGTTTTTTTTTTTCTAGTTTGATGAAGAGTCTCAATGACAGTTTAATGGGAAAAGCATCAAATCTATACACTGCTTTGGGCAGTATGGCCATTTTAACAATATCAGTTCTTCATATCTATGAGCATGGAATGTTTTTCCATTTATTTGTGTCATCTCTGATTTCTTTGAGCAGTGGTCTGCAGTTCTCCTTGTAGAGATCTTTCACTTCCAAGTTAGCTATACTCCTAGGTATTTTATTCTTTTGTGGCAATTATGAATGGGAGTTTGTTCGTGATTTGGCCCCTGACTTGGCTGTTGTCAGGGTATAGAAATGCTAGTGATTGTTGTATACTGATTTTTGTTTTCTGAGACTTTGCTAAAGTTATTTATCAGCTTACGAAACTTTTGGGCTGGAACTATGTACGGTGTTTTTATGTTGTCTGCGAACAAGGATAGTTTCACTTCTTCTCTCTTTATTTGGATGCCTTTTATTTCTTCCTCTTGCCTGACTGCCCTGGACAGAAATTCTAATACTATGTTAATAGGAATGGTGAGAGAAGACATCCTTTTCTCCTGTCAGTTTTAAAAGGGAATGCTTCCAGCTTTTGCCCATTTATTATGACTGTCCCTCAGTTTTCAGTTTTTTGTTTTTCAGGGACTGCCTCAGACTCTCAGTTTTCAGTTTCAGTTTTTTTGCATTTGCTGAAGACTGTTTTACTTCTAATTGTGTGGTTGATTTTAGAGTATGTGCCATGTGGTGATGAGAAGAATGTATATTCTGTTGGTTTTGGTGGAGATTTCTGTAGTTATCTATCAGGTCTCTTTGAGCCAGTGTTGAGTTCAGGTCCTGAATATCTTTGTTAATTTTCTGCCTCAATAATATGTCCAATATCGTGAGTCAGGTGTCAAAGTCTCTCAGCATTATTGTGTGGTAGTCTAAGTCTCTTTGAAGGTCTCTAAGAACTTGCCTTAGGAATCTGGGTGCCCCGTGTTGGGTGCATATATATTTAAAATAATTATATCTTCTTGTTGAGTTGAACCCTTTACCATTAGGTAATGCCCTTCTTTGTCTTGCTTTATGTTTGTTGGTTTGAAGTCTGTTTTGTCAGATAATAGGATTGCAACCTTTGCTTGTTTCTGTTTTCCATTTTCTTGGTAGACTTTTCTCCATTCCTTTATTTTGAACATATGTGTGTCACTGCACGTAAGATGGGTCTCTTCAAGACAGCATACCACTGGGTCTTGGTTCTTTATCCAGCTTGCCACTCTGTGTCTTTTAATTGGGACATTTAGCCCATTTACATTTAAGGTTAGTTTTGATATGTGTGAATTTGATCCTGTCATAATGATGCTGGAAGGTTTATTTTGAGGACTTGTTAATGCGGTTGCTTCATAGTGTCACTGGTCTGTGTACTTCAGAGTGTTTTTGTAGTGGCTAGTAATGGTCTTTCCTTTCCATATTTAGTGCCTCTTTCAGGAGCTACTGTAAGGCAGGTCTGGTGGTAAAAAAATACCCTCAGCCTTTGCTTGTCTGAAAAGGATCCTATTTTTCTTTTGCTTATGAAGGTTAGTTTGATTGGATGTGAAATTCTGGGTTGGAATGTTTTTAAGAATGTTGTTTATTGGCCCCCATCTCTTCTGGCTTTTAATGTTTCCACTAAGAGGTCTGCTGTTAGTCTGATGGGCTTCCCATTTCAGGTGACCTGGTGTTTCTCTCTAGCTGCCTTTAACATTTTTTCTTTCATTTTGATCTTGGTTAATCTGATGATTATGTGTCTTGGAGATGATCTTGCAGAGTGTCTTATTGGGGTTCTCCACACTTTCTGAATATAATGTTGGCCTCTCTAGGTTAGAAGTTCTCATGAATGATACATAGGATATACTTTAGTGCACTTCTTGCTTTCGAAATTTAGAGGATTGTGATGAAATATATTTAAAAAATATTTACAAGTAGGATCCTAATAGGAATGTCCTGAATTTCAAGTATATTGGAACTGAGATTCTGGAAAGTGAGAAATAGGCATACACAAGTGACTTTTACAAACGAGAAAGCTAAGGTTATGAAAGGATTGATGAGTCATGACTAATAATAGTTTATAAACAGTGAAAATAAAAATCAACAACCCTCAGTAACTTCAAAGCTTCATGTCTATCTATCCACTTCCCCAGAGGAAGATAAGAACAGAGATCAGATGGGTTCTCAGAAATACAGAGATGAAAAGAGATGCAAGTCTGGAAGAGTTGTGAGGTGGCCACGTTCTCCCTGGGGAAATAGGAAGTATGAACTTCTAGGCCAAAATGTATAGTGACCATGCTTCCTAAAATGTGTCTGCCCCATTTTGAAATGGTCAGATAGCAGATGATTTTGGTTCATCTTCCTGAGAGACAAATGGGAAGAGGCAAAAGAGAATTCCTGATGTGGCATTATTTTAGCAGGAACTATAAGACTCACTGTGTTGGATGTAACTGACAGTGTCAGCAGGAGTAGGGAGAATTTACAGTATTGGAGTGGGGTTGGGCAAGAGGTCCACAGAACTAGGGCAAGTGTGATGTTTTTGAGGTTAATATAAAGAAGGGGGAAGGAGGAGAATTTCTGAAACCCTTCATACTTTCATTGTCTGCCATTGAACAGAAAAGGCACTTGCAGTAAGGTAAAAGTGGAGAAGAGGCCCTTGAGTTGTAGCAGTGAATAGAAATGTTACCTTAAAAGAAGACAAAGGGAATTGAACAATGAGAAAACTTGGACACAGGGTGGGGAACATCACACACCAGGGCCTGTCATGGGGTTGGGGGAGCAGGGAGGTATAGCATTAGGAGATATACCTAATATAAATGTCAAGCTAATGGGTGCAGCACACCACCATGGCACCTGTATACATATGTAACAAACCTGCACATTGTGCACATGTACCCTGGAACTTAAAGTGTAATAATAATAAGACAAAGACAACAATACAACAAAGAAAAAGATTATTAAAGAGGAAGATGAAAACAGATAATTACAGGAGAGGGATTACTCACAATCCTTGATAATTTTGCTGGTTTAGGAAACTCCCCTAAAATGAGCATTTTTTTCTCCTTTCTTAACTGAACTTAGAGGAATGCACAAAAAGCCCATGGAAAAGACACAGGGGAAAGCTTGGGAAACCATCCTCTCAGATTATAGGTCCTTTAACATTAATATTCATAACTGTCCTTTAGCAACCTGACTAAAAACCAGTGAGGGAACTGGTGTGTGTGTGTGTGTGTGTGTGTGTATGTTTCCTTGATGGCTAGTTATTTTAGGTCTGCCATATTCTTTTTTTTTAATACTATTATTCTGTCTTACCTTGGATGTATATAGCAGTTTCTATCCAGAGATTTAAAAATATTATACAAGTCATCTTATTTGTCCTCAATCCTTGGAATTTTATGTCAGTGTTACAACTTCCTAGTCAGGTCCCATAATTGTAAAGATGTGTACTCATATGCATTTACCCAAGGGGATTTTAGATTTAGACAATAAGAACTATCAGGGACTATTTTTAGAAAATGCAGCATTTCTAAAAATAAGAATTCTGTTGACTGAAGGCCCCTGCATTGCTGAAAGCAGCCTTTGGAGCAGAAAGTCGATAATCCCTGAATGGAAAGGCCACACAGTGACATGAGGACTGACATTCTCTCCTGGGAGTTGGTAAGTGGAGCAGACAGCTTCAAAGTTAAAGGCAGATTCTGATCTATCTTTCTGTAATGATTGTATAAGCAAGTGGGTCTATTACTTTTAGGATGGTATCTAAAACTAGGTGTACATCATAATCATGTTCCAATTAGTAAGAAGGAAACTAGATTTGATGGAAAGTTTGGAGCTGAGTATCCAGGTTTTAACTCTTACCAGCCTCCCACAACCACCTTTTTTAACAAAGGGACAGAGGTAGGAAAACATGAACCTTAGAGTTGTGACAAGGAACATGAATTGCTAGAGAATAAGATGAAGGAGGAGAGGATGCATGGCAAATGAGGATAGCAACGTAAGCAGACTACGTATGATGTGGTGAAAATTATAAGTTTTATTCTGAAGGGTAAGTTTCTAAAGCGTTTTCAGCCAGGAGGTTCTGGTCTACCCTTTGGAACCATAGCAATTACAGTAATCCTGAAGGACAACTAACAGACCCCCTGTCCAACCCATGAACATCCTTATACTTCTCCTACAAAATACACACAAATATCCACCTCCATCCCTTAAGTAAGTCCTTCTCTTGGCTCAGTAGGTTCAGTTCACAAAATTATTCTTCACTGACATTGTTTGGAATTCCTTTCCTCTCCCAGATTTCATTCCTTGAGTAAAAACTAAACTTTGAGCCTCAGCATGCATATTGGCTTCCTCTAATGTGGGCCAACTTGGGACCATGTTCTCTTTGGAGTCATCCACTGAATGGCAGAGCCTGTGGTCTCACCACCTGTGTTGCAACTGCCTATAGACCAGTTGTATGATTAGACCACAATCTTCAATGAGGAAACACATATTTTTCCTGTGGTGTTTTTGGTCATATTTATGGAGTTTCTGAAGGGCAGTAGAAATTCCAACCAAGCACAGCCCGACCTCTGTGGAGACAAATGAATTGTTGAAATTCATCATTAATCCACCAAGGTTCCCCACATTATGGTTAAAGTTGACACAGAATTTTGAATTGAAATTTACAGAACATTTTCCAAAAGGTTTTACCTGGATAGGGCACACCTCAGTGTAATTCCTTTCTAGTGGCTCAGTACTACCAGATTGAAGGATTGCTGCATCTCGTTTGGTGATGCTTTTTATTTCCTATTACTCCCAACTTCATACTTGAAGCACTGAGAATTACAAGTCAAGTATGTTGAAGAAGACTTTTAGTTTCTTTTCATTTCTGTATTCAATTTTAAAAATTCTTTCATAAACTTAATGGATGTCATTAACTCAATTAACATGGCTCAAATACACTGCTCAGTCCCTGTGGAAATCAGATACAAGACCATTTTTTTTTATTACATAGAATCTGACCAACGCAATCTTAAAATTATAGAAAAATTTAAGAAGTACAGAGCTATTGCAATAGTAGGAATATGTGAAAAAATTTATAGCACAACCCTGGTGAAGAAAGAAGGCATCCATGATTTTTTAATGTTGGCGTACCGCCATCCAGTCTTGTAACAAGTTTTGTAAAGAGCTTGGTTGTCACATTGCTGTTATGTTACAGGTCCTGGCAGAGCTTCAGTGCTTGTTGTCCTAGTATTAACTGAAGGTAAAATGAAATATACAGATCTATGTACTACAGTTCATAAGACAAAAGTGGTGTGGAGCTTTTAACAGCAAGCAACTTTTGTATTTGGAGAAAAATCATTCTAAAACGTGGCTGTGCTTCAAATATTCCAAAGGCCATAGAAATAACTGTTATAGTCAATAATACTGGGGTGCATGATGCTATGACGTTAGAAACAGAACTTGAGACAAGATCTAACTGGCTATTCATTTTAGCCAACATAGTGATACTGATGAGTAAGTCCAATGAAGCTTCCATGGGAGTATTAAAAAGAAGTTTTACCATGTCACAAGCTTTACACACTTGTAATCTCTATCGGGTTACATCAACATATTTGGATACTTAGCAAAAGATTCTTGCTGTTTGGCATTTAAAATGTATATTTCCCCTATGTTTTCTGCTAGGAGTTTTATAGTTTCAGATAGTAAAGCTTCTTGACTTTGGTCTTGGGAATTATTTCTGGATACGACACAAAAAGCACAGGCAACAAAACAAAACAGGCAAGTGTGACTATGTATATGTAAAAAGCTTCTGCACAGCAAAGGAAACAAAAGAGTAAAAGAGTAACTTATAAAATGGTGGAATGAGGGTTAATACTCAAAAAATATAAGAAACTCCTGTAACTCAATGGGAAAAAAAAACCCCAAATAACCCATCTTAAAAATGGGCAGAGGACCTGAATAGACATTTCTACAAAGAAGACATAACAATGGACAACAGATATATGAAAAGGTGCTCAACATCACTAATCATCAAAAAGTGCATATCAAAACCATGATGTGATGTCACCAATCAGGATGGCTATTATAAAAAACAAAAGAATTGGAGAGGATGTGGAAAAATCAGAACACTTGTACATTGTTGGTGGGAATATAAAATGGTATAGCCACTATGGAAAACAGTACAGAGATTTGTCAAAAATACAAATAAAACTAACATATGATCCAATAATCCCACTTTGGAGTATATATATCCAAAGAAGTTGAAATTATGATCTTGAAGCAGTATCTGCACTTCCATGTTCATTGCAGCATTATTCACAATTGTCAAAATGTGGAAACAACCCAAACATCTATTGATAGATAATAAATAAAGAAAATACGGTCCAGGTGTGCTGGCTCATGCTTGTAATCCCAGCACTTTGGAAGCCCAAGGCAGGAGGATGGTTGAGGCCAGGAGTTCGAGACTTGCCTGGGCAACATAGTCAGCCCTATTCTCTACAGAAAATAAAAACTACTGGCTGGGCATGGTGGCATGCACGCCCAACTTCTTGGCAGACTGAGGCAATAGGATCACTTAAAACCAAGAGATTGAGGTTGCAGTGAGCTATAATCACACCACTACAATACTCCAGCCTGGATGACAGAGCAAGATCCTGTCTCTCTCTTAAAAAAAAAAAAAAGAAAAGAAAAAAGGAAACATGATATATACTGGTTTGAGTCATAATGTCTAGAGACACAATCCTAAACACCGTAACCCCTGAAGTCTAAAATCACAGAATAGTTGCATCATGTTAGGTGGAGTTATTATCTTGTTATTTTCTTTATTTGGAGTAAGTATTGTTTAAGGACATGCATATGGGTGCCAAGCTGATAAGGGATGTACTGTGAACCTCTCTCCAAATACAAGTGTAGTGATGTGGTTTGGCTGTGTCCCCACCCAAATCTCATCTCAAATTCCCCCATGTTGTGGGAGGAACACGGTGGAAGGTGGTTGAATCATGGGGGCAGGTCTTTCCCGTGCTGTTCTCGTGATAGTGAATGAGTCTCACGAGATCTGACGGTTTTATAAACGAGAGTTTCCATGCACAAGCTCTCTTGTCTGCTGCCATGTGATACATGTCTTTCACCTTCCACCATGACTGTCAGTCCTCCCCAGCCACATGGAACTGTAAGTCCATTAAACCTCTTCCTTTTGTAAATTGCCGAGTCTGGGGTATATCTTTATCAGCAGTGTGAAAACAGACTAATACACGCAGTGAGTATTTTGAAGACTAAAGAAGTGAAAATGCAGGAAAAAGATTCAATAAATCTCCTATGCCGAATTATTCGATTGTGTAAAACTTCTGCCCCTTCAAACACTGCAGCATGCTTGCCTGCAAACGCCGCCCTTTGTTGGAGAATACAAATAATTTAACAAGCTCAAAGAGCTTCTTAACACTTGCTGATATTGATGTTCCTCTAGTGTTATAAAACACATTAAATGGTAAACTATTTTTTATTATGAATTTTACTACTGAAGAAGATACACTACTTATATAATCCACTAAATCTAACAGAAAAACTAGCACATGTTTCATTTTGGCTAAAATGGATGACACTTGCAAAACTGTCCCCACTATTTTTATTAACTATATACAATTCATGCCCTTGTTGGATCTGAAGATTCTAAAATAATCTCACTTATGTATTAATGACTGGAAAAAGTAATGTACCTTATAAATGCTTATTTGAAGATCTGGTGGACTTTGCAGAGGAAAATAGATTTCAATTAAATCCTGAAACCATGACAGATTTAGAATTACATGTAATCAAGTCTTCTAAAAGTGAATTTCAAGATGTTACAAATGAAGTTTTTTTTCCATTTAGACCCAATGCCTTTGGTGGGAAATTCGGATGAGTGAATTGGTTATGCAACATGGCAACAATGAAAACTTCAGTTTAAAATGTGTTATTTGCCTTCATGGGCATTTCTTCCAGCTAATGACATTCCGAGAGCTTTTACTTAAAGCCACATTTGCCTCAAGAAGCCAGTGAAGTTACTTCCTGGTTCAAAAGCAATTATGTGCACAGTAGGGTAAGAAGACACCTAGTAGTTCTGTTTGATCACCGGAATTGTTTTTGCCAAATCTGTAATCTGTCTGAGTGCATGTGAAATATGTTATCATGAACTGTGGTCACCACACAGTGCAATAGATCATTAAAACTTATTTCTCAAGTCTACCCGAAACTTTATATCCTTTGGTCAACACTTTTGTTTTCTCTATCCCTCCCTTTTTCCCCCTAGCCTCTGCTATCACCTCTCTACTGTCTCTATGAGATTCTTTTTAAGACTCAACATGTGAGTGAGATCATACAGTATTTGTCTTTGGTTTATTTCACTTAACATAAGGTCCATCTATGTTGTCACTAATGATAGAATGTCCTAAGGCTGAATATTATTTCATTGTGTATATAAGACTACATTTTCTTTATCCATTACTCCACTGAGGGATACTTAGTTGCTTCTATGTCTTGGTTATTGTGAATAATGCTAATAATCACAATAATTCCTTTGGATATATACCCAAAAGTGGGATTCCTGGATCATATAGTAGTTCTATATTTAGTTTATTGAGGAAATTTAATACTATTCTCCAAAATGGGTGTACTAGTTTACATTCCCTCCAACAGTGCACAAGGGTTCCTTTTTTCCCACATCCTTGCCAATACTTGTGATTCACTCATCTTTTTAATAAGAGTGATTCTAACAAGTGTGACATGATATTTCATTGTGGTTTTAATGTACATTTTCCTGATTGGAGATATTGAGCATTTTTTCATATATATGTTGGCTATTTATATAGCTTCTTTTGAGAATTATTTGCTCAGATCCTTTGCTCATATTTTAATGAAGTTATTTGTTTTCTTGCTATTGAGTTGAGTTCCTTGTATATTCTGGCTGTTAGCCCCTTTTTAGATGCATCATTTGCAAATATTTCCTCCCAATCAGTTAATTATCTTCACACTCTGTTTATTGTTTTCTTTGCTGTATAGAGTCTTTCTAGTTTGGTGCAATCTCATTTGTGTACTTTTTGCATTTTTGTCTGTGCTTTTGGAGTCTTATCCGAACAAAATCATTGTCCAGACCAGTGCCATGGAGCTTTTCCCCTATGTTGTCTTCTGAGAACATTACAGTTTCAGGACTTACGTTTAAGGCATCTATCTATTTTCAGATAATTTTTGCATGTGGCATAAGATAAAAGTTTAATTTCATTCTCCTGCATGTGGATATTCAGTTTGGCTAACACAGTTTATTAAAGACTGTCCTATCCCAATTGTTCTTGGCATCTTTGTTGAAAATCAACTAACCATAAATACTTGAGTTAATTTCTAGGCTGTCTCACCCATGCCGTTGGCTGATATATCTGTTTTTCTGGCAGTACCATGCTCTTTTGATTGCAATAGCTTCCACAATATATTTTGAAACCAGGGAGTATGAGGTCTCCAGCCTCGTTTTTGCTTAAGATTGCAAATTTTGCATATTTGGTGTCTTGCAGTTCTATATGAATTTTAGAATTTTTTTTTGAAAAATGACATTGGAATTATGATGGAGATTGCATTGAATCTGTAGATCATTTTGTGTAGTATGGGCATTTTAACAGAATTAATTCTTCCAGTCCATAAACATAGGATATACCTCCATTTGTTTGTGTCTCCTTCAGTCTCTTTTATCAGTGTTTTACAGTTTGGGGCATAGAGGTATTTCACGTCCTGGATAAATTTATTTCCAAGTATTTTAATTTTTTTGTTACTATTGTAAATCAGACTGTTTTCTCAATTTCTTTTCCAGATAGTTTGCTGTTAGTGTATAGAAAAGCTACTGGTTTTGTATGTTGATTTGGTATCCTGAATAATTTTTACTGAATTCATTTATTAGTTCTAACTAATATACTTCCTGGATTGGGGTGATTCTTCCTTTTTTTTTTTTTTTTTTTTTTCTTAGTTGAGGCAGAGTCTTGCTCTGTCTCCCAGGCTGGAGTGCAGTGGTGTGATCTTGGCTCACTGCTACCTCTGCCTCAGCTTATGAGAGTAGCTGGGATTACAAGCACCTGCCACCATAGCCTGCTAATTTTTGTAGTTTTAGTAGACACAGGGTTTCACCATATTGGCCAGGCTGGTCTCAAACTCCTGACCTCAAGTGGTCTGCCCACCTCAGCCTCCCAAAGTGCTGGGATAACAGGCATGAACCACTATGCCCAGCCTGGATTGGGATTTCTATTTCCTTCTTCTAATGCAGGCAGTTTTCTGCCATTGTTTGTTTCTCTTTTCCTTCTGCTACCCTAATAATGTGATAATATTCTGCTTGATGGTATCATATAAGTTTCTTAGGCTGTCTTCACTCTTTTTTCACTTTTCTCCTCAAGCACAGAGATTAAAAGCCAGGAGCTCCAGCAGGGACTGTAAAATTTGGGAAAAAGCTGGGGTTTCCTTCCCATGCATAAGATTGTGTGCTCAGTGTGGAGTTAGCGAGTGTATCTCCACTTTTCCTATGTGTTTTAATTTGTATAATTTTTCATTTGTCCATTGTATGGGAGTCTTTCAACTCAATTCCAGCTTTCTCTAGGAGAGAATTGATCAGTGTGTAGGTGTTCACTTGGTGTGTCTTTGGGAGGTGGGATATTCAGGAGCCTCCTATTTCTCCATTTTGCTGATGTCCTTCCTGTCTGATAATTTTTGATGACATTTATTGTGAATTTTACTTCTTTGGGCATTGCATGTTTTTGTCTTCCTATAACTTTTCTTGAGCTTTGCTCTAGAATGTACTTAATTAACTTGTGAACACTTTGATCTTTTCAGCCTTAAAGACTTGTTAGGTTGAAACCATAGCATTGTTTCACCTAGAGCTAATTATTACCAGTACTGAGGCAAGATACTTCTGACTGCTTCACCTAATGTCCTACAAAACCTGATACTTTCCTGACTGGCTCCAGAAATAGGAACTATTCATGGTTTTTCTTATCAGAAAAACCACATTCTGTTGCCTTTAATCCTTTCATTTGGTTCTTTCCCAGTCTCAGGCAATTTCCTTATCTGAATATGCTAATCAATACTCAGCTGCAAAATTGAGGGTGACCTTCAGATCTCTGTACTGCTTTTCCTTTCTGGTAGTCTTCCCTGTGAGCTGTAGCTGATTTAGTTTTCTTGATTCTCAGCTCCACTTTAATTCAAGTTCTTCAGGTAAAGTGACCAACTCTTCCTGTTATCATGGGATTTGGGTGGAAGGGGATTGTCAGATTCAGAACTTTGACTTTTAAGATGGAAAAGTCCAGACAAACTGGAACGAGCTGGTCATCTTACTGCAAAACTCTGCCTTGGTTCTGCCTCCTTTTGGTGGTGCAGTCTTGGAAACTCTCTCAAAACTGTCAACTGGAGGAACTATAGGGCTCAGCTACTTGTTTCCAGTGTCTTAGAAATCACTGTTCTTCATTGCTTGATAACCAGCGTCTTAAACCATTGTCTCATATATGTTGTCTGCTTATTATATTTTCCCCCTTTAATTATTTCAAGGGGGATGATGAATCTTACTCAATTTTGGCTGGAGAAAATAATGCTCATTCGATTTTGATTCTACTCTATCATTGTTCTTCCCTACCGCTTTCCTGAAAGTGCTCTAATCAAAGTTACCAGCCAGTTGTAAACTTCAAAATCCAGCGGTCAGTTCTCAAGTGCCATTTTACTTTACCAAATAGCCACAGTTAATGTTTGCTTACTAATTTTCTTTAAAACACCTTTTTTCACTTGGCTACCAGGATATAATTTTCTTCATTTCCCTTTAACAAGTAAGTCTTTCTTAGTTCCCTTTGCTGGAATTGCCTCATGTTCTCAGCCTCTAAATGTTAGTCCTAGGACATCTTTTCTTGTCTCTTTATACTCATTCCCCAGGTGATTTCATCAAGCCTCATGGTTTTATGTATTTTTGTATACTAACTCCTAATTTATAACTCTAGCTCTCCAAAGCTGTATACTCAGCTGCCTACTCAAATTTTACACATGGAGAAGGCATCTGAAACTCAATATTTCCACAACTGAACTCTAAATTTTCCTCTAGTGTCTGAACATGCTGCTTTCAGATCCAGATGTTTCTTAGTAAATTGCAACTCTGTTCTTTTGATTGCTTATGCTAAACCACAGCATCATCTTTGACTATTTTTTTCTACATACCTAATACATCAGCAAATCTAGGTAGTTTAGCTTCTTGCCTTCACCTGCTTCCATCCTAATTCAAGTCATTCTCTCTCACTTGGATTACTGGAAGAGCCAGTCTCTCTGCTCCTATACTCCTGAACTCCTAGAACATATTTTTCAAATGGTCTCTAAATTATTAGTTTCAAAATGTGAACTAGATTGAGTTACTACTTTGCATAAAATGCTGCAGTGCTTCCTATCCCACTTCAATTAAGATACAGTCTTTGCTTTGACCTTCAAGGGACTACATAACATGACATAACCAAATGGAACTAGGGCTACCACCATTCTCTTTAGTCGATATACAATGACCTCTTTTGCTTCAAATATGAAAATCCCACTCCTATCTTCAGATCTTTGACAACTGGAAATTGCTGTTTTCTACCCAGGGCACAAACGTAATGGAATGAGATGGCTCACCGCATTATTTCCTCAAAGTCTCAGCTCAAATATTACCTTATCAGAGAGGTTTTCTCTGACCACTTTTGCGACCACAGCATCTGTCATCTCCTTCTATTTTATTATACTACATTTTCTTCATAGCACATATTACTATCTGATATGTTCAACATGCATTAATTTATTTGCTAATTGCACTGGATTGGAAGTTGAAGAGCGCAGGGATTTATTTCCAGATACATTCCTAGTGCTGGTGGTGTTTGTTGAGTGAATGAATGAAATTCTAGTTAAAGAACTTTTTTCTTTTTGAGACCGGGATTTTTTTTTCATTTTTTTCTGCTTTTATTTTAGGTTCAGAGGGTACATGTGCATGTTTGTCATATGGATAAGTTGCAGGGGTTTGGTGTACAAATTATTTTTTCATCACCCAGGTAATGACCATAGTATCTGATAGGCAGTTTCTCCATCCTTGCCCTCAAGTAAGCCCCAGTGTCTATTGTTCCCTTCTTAGTATCCATTTGTACTCAATGTTTAGCTCCCGCCTAAAGAAAGAACATGCAATATTTGGTTTCCTGTTCTTGTGTTAATTTGCTTAGTATTATGTATGGCCTCTAGCTCCACCCATGATGCTGCAAAACACATGATTTTGTTATTTTTTTACGGCTGCATAGTATTCCATGGTGTATATATACAATATTTGCTTTTTCCAGTTCACCATTGCTGGCATCTAGGTTGATTCCATGTGTGTCTTTGCTGTTGTGAATAGTGCAGTGATTCACATACACATGCATGTGTCTTTATGGTAGAACAATTTATACTCCTTTGGGTATATACCCAATAATGGGATTGCTGGGTTGAATGTTAGCTGTGCTTTAAGTTCTTTGAGAAATCTCCAAACTGCTTTCCACAGTGGCTAACCTACTTTATATGCCCAATAGCAGTGTATAAGCATTCCCTTTTATCTGCAACCTCATCAGCATCTGTTATTTTTTCACTTATTACTAGATTTGCATTTCTCTAATGATTAGTGATGTTGAACACTTATTTTTATGCTTGTTGGCCATGTGTATGTCTTCTTTTGGGAAGTGTCTGTTCATGTCATTTCATGTCATTTGCCCATTTTTTAATGAGGTTGTTTGCTTATTGAGTTGACTTCCATATAAATGCTGAATATTAGACCTCTGCCTGATTTATACTTTTTCAACTTTTTCTCACATTCTGTAGTTTGTCTGTCTATTCTGTTAGTAGTTTCTTTTTCTGTGCAAAAACTCTTTTAATTAGGTCCCACTTGTCAACTTTTGTTTTTGTTGCAATTGCTTTTGGAGTCTTTGTCATAAAACTTTTGTCAGGGTCTCTGTCCAGAATGGTATTTTCTAGGTATTCCTGTAGGTTTTTTTAAATAGTTTTAGATGTTATATTTAAGTCTTTAATCCATCTTGAGTTGATTTTTGTGTATGGTGAAAGGAAGGAATTCAATTTCTGTCTTCTGCGTATGGGTAGCCAGTTACCCAGCACCATTTATTGAATAGGGAGTTAATTCCCTGTTCTGTTCCATTGGTCTATGTGTCTAGTTCTGTAACAGTACCATGCTGTTTTGGTTACTGTAGTCTTGTAGTATAGTTTGAAGTTGGGTAGTGTGATACTTTCAGCTTTCTTCTTTTTGCTTAGGATTGCTTTGGTTATTCAGGCTCTTGTTTGGTACCATATGAATTTTAAAATTGTGTTTCCTAATTCCGTGAGAAATGCCATTGGTAGGAATAGCACTGAATGTATAAATTGCTTTGGGGTGTATGGCCATTTTAACAATATTGATTTTCCTGTCCATGACCATGAAATGTTTGTTTTTGTTTTTCATTTGTTTGACATCTTAAAGACATTTCTGATCCATGATCTTAAACAGTGTGGCTGCTACCACATGATCGCTGATTACCAAGTATGTTTTCATGTCCTATGCAGAAGCATTCTTCTGTGCCTCTCTTTAATACTCCTGAAAGATATCAATTAGTTAAGCTTTATGTGTGCATGTCTTTTATTGTTTGTTGGAACATTAAAAGAATCACAACACAGAAGAGCCTTCTTCTCTTGATCTTAAGAAAAGACTTCTTCCAACTGAGTAGACAACTGAGTTTCCAAAGGAAGAAGAAGAATGTTATTTTCAACTATTTTCTAATGTTTTGATTAGGACAAAATGGTCTTATTCCTTCCAAAAGAGTTTTTCTCCTTGCCACATGATAAAAGCATTCTCTCAATGAGTCACCAAAAAATCATACGTTTTCTCGATTTGGTTTGTAGCAGAAAACATAGCCCTATTACCTTGATTCCATTCCTTTTATCTCCAAAATTTTCTTTCACCTTAGATCTTGTAATCTATGCAGCATTTAGTTTAAATATTTTATTTTATTATTAATTAAATATTATTATAATTAAATATTTTATTTTATTGGTTAATAAAAATCTTCTCCCTCGATTTTAGCCTTAAAATTTTTTACCAAGATAGTATTTTAATAAGAGTTTTCTGGGCCCAGAAGGGCATGGGTTCTTCTGTGGTAATGGATGATGTTCCTTGTATCTCGCATAGAGATGGTCTCAATAACTATGATCATAAGAGATGACAGACTCAACTATATGTTGGCTCTTTCACATAACACTGGGAAAATTTTTGGAAAACACTTACAGGACCTTTTTGGCATGGAATCACAAACTAGTGGTTCATATGCGAATTTTAGCCCCCAGATGTGTGTGCTTGACATGTCATAGTCCCTAAGGCTACATGTTCTATTATACCCACTGCTTCTTACAAATATGCATTGCCAACCTGGACCCTGCAGGCATTTGTGTCTGACCCAGAAGACCCATAGAACTTCAATCACTGCTGCTCTTGGTCTTTCCTCACTAGGCTTCAGATCATTTACCCTTTAGCTTCATTTTACCCATGACTAGAGTTAATGTCAGGCTGTTGACCATACATCAGTTAGGAGATTCCACAGCCACTCTCTATAAACTTCAGCTAGAATGCTTCCTTCTAGCATTACAGAAGCTCTTTCTGAACAAAACTTATTTTTAGAAATGCAGCATAGTGATTTTTTTTCTAAAAGTAAAGTTTGAATATCTGTTTTATTTAGAAGCCTTGGGGACATTATGGCTGAGGAAATACATTCTTCAGCCAAAGGACTTGATCATATTGTCCTTACAGATGACACTGGGTATTTTGCTAGAGTAAGGATAATAAAATTAGACTTGTCATCCTTGTTTAGGAAACTGAGAAGTAAATGTGTAGCATAACGGTGCTGGCTCAGGCATTTAGATCTGAGCAAAAGGAGCAATAACAAGATTCCAATTTTTAGTAGCAGGTACCACCTGGCCTTAGTGCCTATTCTGGGCAAAGCCACTACTCAAGGTCACAATCTCAAGTCTTTCTTCAATAAATGCCTTGCAATATGTAGTAACTTTAACATCTGTTTTAGACTTCCACATAGTTATTCTCTTTTGCATCCAAAACTCCCCACTACAAAATGAGTCCTGTTTCAATCTTTGCTGTATCTAACTTACCTTCCAGGAAACAATCACTCAAAAAAAATCTTGATCCTCCCCTTCACTCTTGACATTGCCTTGATATCGGGACTAATCTGCTGGATGAAAACACAAGAATTTATTGTTAACCAGATTAGTTATCAGGCAGGGAAAAATTTCAGGCAAGCTACCTGCTACAGAACTAGGAGACACCTAAGCAGGTTTGGAGCCTCAGTGTGTACCCTTTATTTATACGCTTTAAAAAAGTCCCAGAAGTTTAACAATATGCCTTTTGGTCAATTGCCGTGGGTTACTTTCATAACAAAGAAGGCTTTCTATATAAATTCTTAGTTTTCAGAGTGTAAACTTTTACGTTTATTCATGCTTTCCCACCGCATACTCAGGAACTTATTCAAGTAATATAAAATATGGAAAAGTAGCTGGAGCATAAAGAGTAATGCCCAGTTAACACAGCCCCCACACTTTATGTCACACAAAATGTGTTTGTTAGTTCATGCACTGTAAGCAGTGTGGCTCTTAAAGGAATTGCGGCCTCCACTACACTTCAAGCTTTCCACAGGCTCACAAGTTTGTGTATTATAATTCTTTGTGCCTGAACATTAGCTCACTAATCACGCCTTCCCTGTGGATGTGTGGACTACAAGGACCCATGTTTATTTTGTCTGTCAATTCTGAACAATGGTATTTTCCACAATATTTTATGTGAGTCTATATAGTCCAGGCTTTTTGTGAAAAACTGTATTTTAAGACTTTATAGAGACAACAAGTGTTATTAGGTAAGAAAAACTGAATTCTTTATGACAGAATCCATATGACAGAATCAACCAGAAACACTCTATTAATAGACAATACAAGCTAATTTCAGATATGCATATGTAAGTGTCATTGTAGGAGTACAAATTGCACTCCCTATTTGTACAATCAATAGGGAGTGTGGGAATTCACCATTAACCACAAATTTCCTTTCACTAGTGCATTGATGAATGCCTACATACTGACTGGGTAAGGGAAATTACATTTTTTTCTCATTACCCTGGTTCTGGTATTTCTTTACCTTCCTCTATACTCAGAGAAATTCAAATCAGATTCATAACCTTCTTGCATTAGAAAATATCAACTCAAAGATTGGTTAATCTTTGTCTTCAAGTGCTTATAGTTTAGATGTTTTAAGGACAAAGATCTGTTCCTATTTCTGTTTGCTAATGCACAAATATGAACAAATGTACCAATTTCAGGTCATAAATCTCTCTTCTACTTGATGATACATTGTATCTTTTTTGTTTCTGTCATAGATTCAGAGGAATTTATAATCCTCCTGCTTCTTTTCAGAAACAGGAAAAACACTGGTGTCAGAGTTGTAAAGAGCAGGAGAGTTATTTTTTTATTTTTTATTTTTTTGGAGATGGAATCTCGCTCTGTTGCCCAGGCTGGAGTGCAGTGGCGTGATCTCGGCTCACTGCAACCTCCTCCTCCTGGATTCAAGCAGTTCTCCTGCCTCGGCCTCCCAGGTAGCTGGGAGTAAAGGCACGCACCACCACGCCTGGCTAATTTTTGTATTTTTAGTAGAGACAGGGTTTCACCATGTTGGCCAGGCTTGTCTTGAACTCCTGACCTCAGGTGATCTGCTAGCTTCGGCCTCCCAAAGTGCTGGGATTATGGGCATGAGCCACTGTGCCTGGCTGAGAATTACCTTCCTATAAGCATTTTTTTAAGCTCTTTGCCGTATACTTATTTCTATATATTCATTCATTATTTCCTAATTCCTTTCCTTCTTCCACTTGGCCCCCAACGACCAGTGGTGGGACCTGGAATATAAAACTGTCAAATTTGTACCTCTGGACTGCTCTACTATTCAACTATTTTGTTACAGGGATCAGAATCTACCTTCCCAGTATTTGTAGCTTCTTATATTTGTTCACACATTGTTGTAACTTAAGAAAGATGCTAGTCTTGCCTGGAAAATCCCTGGCACTGTGAGAGTCAGGTAATATCCTGGAAAAAAAAATCTTTTAGAAAGATGATTAGCCATGATATTACACCTGATCTTCTAGTTTCTTCCTACACTCTCATCACCTTGGAAACCCAGATAACAAGAGATGAGAGGTTTCTAGTACTTATCTAGCCTAAGAGCTTTTGCATCCTGTACTGCATCACAATTACAACCTTGCCAAAGAAGCCATAGATAGATTACTGAGTCTCCCAGTGCATGAGTTAAAAACCTCAACTCTCTTATATTTTGTATATTAGGGAATTAGGGAAGAGAAACATGCATTATTCACTTTTTTCTATATATTTATATGCAGGTAACTGGCTCTAAGAATATACAACTTCAGACCCACAAAGAGGCACTCTTAAGTGATAAACTGGAAACAAAGGGAATACTATGTGCTTATTTTATATGTATGACACATAACCTATACTATTAGGTTTTGAGGAAAGGATGAAATGTCATATCTCTAAGAGAAAATGGAAAAGGGACAAGTTCAAATGTGTCTGCTCCTGTTAAATCTCTTCCTATTTTAGTATTAATCATCCAATTAGATTTGAATATGCTTTTGTTTCTTTGTAGTACTCATTGCTCTTTATGACTCAAATTCTCATTCTTAGCTGGTATCTGGTAAGGCTGACTTGCAAGGACTCATAAGTGATTGTATGACAGCAAAATCTGCTTAATTCTCAGGCTAATCTTTTAAAAACTTTTCTACTCTGAGTTTAATAGAATTGACATCATCCATCTGTACACCAAGACTAAGGCTATACTAGTGATTTTGTGGCTGTGTCAATTATTTTCCAGAAATTTTAACATATCAGAAAAACTCATGATAACAGTCACTGTGTACCTCACAAGAGCCTCCATATTTCAATCATCTGCCAATGAAAAGCTTTAAGCACACTATGTTCTTTGCACATCTAAAATGTATATTCTTTGCAATGAGTCACCTGTTGTCTGTCTTACAGGCATTTCCTTTGAGCACTCATCATGACTGTTCATTGACATTTCTGTGTTGGAATTAATTAAAGTATTGAGGCAAATTTAACTTTTCCACAGTATGGCAAATAGGTACTGAAAAGTTCTGAGTAATAAATGTGGAGCATCGATCACAGGGCCACACAACATACATTTAACAGATGAACTGTGAATTGTCAAGGTTATAGTCTTACCTGGTTCTGGATAAGGAAAAGGAATGTTCCCATGACGTGAACTGCTAATGAGTAGAGCAGACTATGTCTCCGTACCACAACCTATTTGTTGATTTATGTTCTTGATCTCATAGGGCATTCATTGACACCAAACATTTTTATCAAAATAACACTTGTATCCCATCCTCCATGAAAATGTGTCCAAAAAAGCCTAGGCTACTTTTAATAAGCAGTTTCTAAAAGAATGTGGAGGCAGGTTCAGGATATGATCTGAATGATTTATCTCCAACAGAGCTATCCAGGGTACTGAGCCCTCCGCGTCTAAATCTGATTTACTGCTTGTTCCTACCTTGAGAGCGTTGCCCTGTAATTTTCAACTGCTCTCATTTTAGCTTTGGCTTTGACTCCACTTTTCCATATGTCAGATAACTCATAAATCATCCGCCTGCCTAAATCTCTATCCATCCTTTTGCTTTCTTAGCCCAATTACCAGCAGTTGGTCCTAAGAGGTATGTTAACTGAGAATACCATCTCTTTTCCTGCCTTATATCAACAACCTATACCCAAGCCACTATCCTGGAAAGTATCTCTGACTCTCCTAGAGCTAAAAGGAAGAAAGAATCAGAATATTTAAAACCTGGGAATTTGATTCATTTATGATCAGAAGTACATTCTTCAACTCTCTAAGGAGAATAAGCCACATAACCTATTCTATAAGATTTCCAGTTCAAGAATGAAGTTCCCGGTCAGCCTAACTGGAAAATTAAGAGGGACTCAAGGATTTTACCTAGACTTTAGAGTGGGTTCATCTGATCGCACAAATAAGCCTAAGTCAAGATCAAAAACATAAACTTCACGACAGGAGCTTTGTACTTTCTCACTTGAATGAAAGGATGTGAACAACAAATTGTGGCTCTGAGTATTTTTGAGGTACTTTGTCCTGTTGGACTCTCTGGAATCAGAGAAGAATCATGAGCTGATGTGGAGGCCTAGAAGCAGTAAGAGAATCCTTCACATGCAGCCTAAAGGCAAATAAATGTTCAGCCTGTCTTGGGATACAGAGACCAGACAGGATGAACTTTCACAAGCTGAAGAGAGAGGAGGACAGGAATCTCAATGTCTGTCTGTGTGAGCAACATCATGACCCAAAGGGACCACAAGGGTCATACCTTGGAACCTGAAACCGAGAACATTAACTGAATATCATTTGGTAGAAAATGTCTTGGTATTTGTCACTAGTCAGTATTCAACTGCGTAACTGCCTTTCAGTTTTTTTTTTTTTAGTTGTCCTTGTAATTATTTTTGCTTTTTGAGAAAAATGTTCAATACCAAAATGAATGCCCTTTGGATTTAATATGTCAAAGACTTTATAAATCATATTGATAAAGCAGGAATAATATAGATCAGCACCAAGGTAACTTTTAACACTATTTTGAGAGGAGAGGATTCTAGGAAGATGGTGGAGTAGGAACCTCCAGGAATACATTGCCCCACCTAGACAACAATTGCACTGGCAGAATTTGTCTGATGTAAGTATTTGGGAACTCTGGAGTCTGCTGAAGGCTTGGAACTTCCAGAGAAAAGTCTTAGAAAGTAAATTGCAGTTAATATCTGTTCATTTTCAGCATTTATCATGGTAGCAGACACTCATTTCCAGGTCTTAGCCACATGGCAAGCAGCTGTGCTCCTGTGTTCCTGGAACAGTTTGCAAACAGCTTGCTTGAGTGAAGGTGGGTAAAAAGGAACCTGTCTTTGAAATATCTACAATCTGTGCTCTGGTTCCTGATTGCTGCTTCTGCTGACACAGGTGTAGACAAAGAGATGCTCCTGCATTGTTGTAAATTCCTATCCTAGCTGAAGTGACTTCTAGGAGAGTGAAACAGCTGACACCCTTTTCCACTTACCTTCATTTTTCTTTTTTTGTTTTGGGAGCCAGAAATTGAAGAGAAGGACATTGAATACAACTGCATATGTGGGGAAAATCAAAAAGCAACCATGCATACCCACGGGAAGGCTCAAAAATGGCCTCCAGAAACAATGTAAATGACAGCAAACCCAGGATAGGGACAGAATGTGATTTCCAGAGATTTTTAGATTTAAATGTATAGTTTTCAACAAAAAATTCACAAAGCATATGATGTGGTTTGTCTCTGTTTCCCCATGCAAATCTCATCTCTAAGCCTGGTGGAAGGTGACTGAGCTGTGGGGGCAGACTTCCCCTTTGCTATTCTCATGATATCTGGTTGTTTGATAAGTGTGGCACATCCTCCCAACTCCCTCTCCTCCTTGCTTCTCCTTCCACCATGATTCCCAGTTTCCTGAGGTCTCCCCAGCCATGCAGAACTGTGAGTCAATTAAACCTTCTTTTCTTTATTAATTACCCAGTCTCACATAGTTTTTTATAGCAGTGTGAAAATGAACTACTATACAAAATTGGTACCAGGAGAGTGGGACACTGCTATAAACATAAAATGTGGAAGCAACTTGGGAACAGTTTGGAGGGCTCAGAAGAAGACAGAAAGATGAGGGAAAGTTTGACACTTCCTAGAGACTTGTTGAATGGTTTTGACTAACGGGCTGATAGTGATATGGAAAATGAAGTGCAGGCTGGAGAGGTCTCAAATGGAGATGAGGAACTTATTGGGAACTGGAGTAAAGGTCGCCCTTGCTATGCCTTAGCAGCATTTTGCCCCTGCCCTAGTATCTGTGGAACTTTGAACTTGAGAGAGATGATTTCGGTTATCTGACAGAAGAAATTTCCAAGCAGCAAAGCATTCAAAAGGTAACCTGGCTTTCTCTAAAAGCATATGCTCATATGTGTTCACAAGAGAGAGTCTGAAATTTGAACTTATGTTTAAAAGGGAAGCAGAGCATAAGGTTTGAAATATTTGCAGGCTGACCATGTACTAGAAAGGAAAAACCCATTTTCTAAGAAGAAATTCAAGCTGGCTGCAGAAATTTGCATAAGTAATGAGCCAAATGTTAATAGCCAAGACAATGGAAAAAATGTCTGCAGGGCATTTCAGAGAGCTTCATGGCAGCCCCTCCCACACAGGCCTCAAGGCCTAGGAGGAAAAAATGGTTTTGTGGGCTGGGCCTAGGACCCTGCTGCTCCAGTTCCAGCCATGGCTAAAAGGGGCCAATGGACAGCTTGGGCCATGGCTTCAGAGGGTGTAAGCCCCAAGCCTTGGCAGGTTAGACGTGCTGTGGGGCCTGCAGGTGCACAGAAAGCAAGAATTAAGGTTTGTGAACCTCTGCCTAGATTTGAAAGGATGAATGAAAACATGTCAATGTCCGGGCAGAAGTCTGCTGCAGGGGCAGAGCCCTCATGGAGAACCTGTGCTAGGGCAGTGCAGAAGAGAAATGGGGTGTCAGAGTCTTCAAAGAGTCTCCACTGTGACACTGCCTAGTGGAGCTGTGAGAAGAGGGCCACAGTCCACCAAACCCCAGAATGGTAGATCAACAGCCTGTACTATGCACCTGAAAAAGCCGCAGGCACTCAAAACCAGCCTGTGAAAGCACCCATGGGGGCTGTACCCTGCAGAGCCACAGCTGCCCAATGCCTTGGAGGTGAGATGTGCAGTCAAAGAAGATTATTTTGGAGCTTGAAGATATAATGCCTGCCCTGTTGGATTTTGGACTTGCATGGGGCCTGTAGCCCCTTTGTTTGGGCCAATTTTTCCCATTTGGAATGGGAATATTTACCCGATGCCTGTACCCCCATTACTAGTTTTTGATTTTATAGGCTCAGAGGTGGAAGGGACTTGCCTTGTCTCAGATGAGACTTTGGACTTTTGAGTTAATGCTGGAATGAATTAAGACTTTGGGGGACTCGTGGGAAGGCATGATTGGTTTTGAAATGTGAAAGGAACATGAGATTTGGGAGGGGCCAGGGTGGAGCGATATGGTTTGGCTGTGTCCTCAACCAAATCTTATCTCAAATTATAATCGCCACATGTTGGGGGAGTAGTCTGGTGGAAGGTGACTGGGAATGAACTTTCCCCTTGCTGTTCTTGTGCTAGAGTTCTCATGATATCTGGTTGTTTGTTAAGTGTCTGGCACTACCCTTGTCTGCCCCCTCTCTCCTGCTGCCTTGTGAAGTAGGTCCTTGCTTCTCCTTCAACTTCTGCCATGATTGTATGTTTTCTGAGGCCTCCTCAGCCATGTGGAATTGTGAGTCAATCAGTCTCAGGTATAAAGAACTACCTGAGACTATAAAACTCAGGTAGTTCTTTATAGCAGCATGAAAACAGACTAATATAGCATAAATTCACAAAGCATACAAAGAAACAGGAAAGTATGGCCAGTTCAAAGCCAAAAAAAAAAAGATGAAGAGAAACTGTCCCTGAAAGACTTGATGGCAAATATATTAGACAAAGGCTATATATATATAAAATATATATACATATATATACACATATATAATATATATACATATATATTTGCCAAAAAATATACACTGACGTATGATAAATGTATACAATGCAGAATTAGTGAATTAAGCTAATTAGCATAACGATTACCTTAGATATTTGTCATCTATTCCTCCTAACAGAAACTTTGTACCATGTGACCAACATTTCTGCAGTCCCTAAAGTGAGTCATTGGTAGACACAATATAGTTGGATCATGTGTTTTTAATTCATTCTGCTAATCTCTGTGTTTTGATGGGAGTGTTTAATCCATTTATATTTAAAGTAATTACTACTGAGGGACTAACTAGCATCATTATGCTCTTTGTTTTCATATGCTTTATAGTCTTTCCCTCTGATTTCTTGCCTTTCTATGTTTTCCATTTAGTTTGTTTTGTAGCAATATATTTAAATTCCTTAATCATTTTCTTTGGGGTATATTTTATATCTACTTTCTTTGTGGTTACCGTGAAGATGGGTTTATACCAACCTAACTTTAAAACATACAAATCCTCTGCTCCTTTATAGCTGTGTCCCCATCCCTTTTAGTTGATGTCACAAAACTACATGTTTATACATTGGGTGTGCAGAAACAAACTATTAAGTTTTTTAAGTGTATTTGTCTCTTAAGTTATATAAAACCAAATCTGGCATTGCAAACAAAAGTTACAGTAATACTAGATTTTAGACTAATAATCATTCTAAAAAATGTATTCATTTAAAAAAAGCATCTAGAAAACAAAAGAGGAGTTATAAGCTCCTGGTACAATAATGCTTCCTTTTGTAATTATCCATATTTACCTTTATTGAGAATTTTATTTCTTCATATGGCTTTAAGTTACCATCTACAGTATTTTCATTTAACTCTAAGGACTCCTTAGAAAATTCTTTTTGCAGGGTAGGTCTAATGATAATAAAATTACTCAGATTTTGTTTCTTTGAGAATGTGATCTCCCTCACTTTTAAAGGACAGTTTTGGCAGATGCAAAGTTTCTAATGAGAAACCTGCTGATAATCTTATTGAGAATACCTTGTATGTGATAACTTGCTTCCTTCTTGCTACTTTCAAGATTCACTATTTGTTTTGTCTTTCAAAAGTTAGATTATAATGTATCTTGGTGTGAGTTGACCTAGGCAATGCCATTCAGGACATAGGCATGGGCAAGGACTTCATGACTAAAACACCAAAAGCAATGGCAACAAAAGCCAAAATTGGCAAATGGGATCTAATTAAACTAAAGAGCTTCTGCACAGCAAAAGAAACCTACTATCAGAGTGAACAGGCAACCTACAGAATGGGAGAAAATTTTTGCAATCTACCCATCTGACAAAGGGCTAATATCCAGAATCTACAAAGAACTCAAACAAATTTACAAGAAAAAACCCCATCAAGAAGTGGGCGAAGGATATGAACAGACACTTCTCAAAAGAAGACATTTATGCAGCCAACAGATACATGAAAAAATGCTCATCATCACTGGCCATCAGAGAAATGCAAATCAAAACCACAGCAAGATACCATCTCACACCAGTTAGAATGGCGATCATTAAAGAGTCAGGAAACAATAGGTGCTGGAGAGGATGTGGAGAAATAGGAACACTTTACACTGTTGGTGGGACTGTAAACCAGTTCAACCATTGTGGAAGAGACAGTGTGGCGATTCCTCAAGGATCTAGAACTAGAAATACCATTTGACCCAGCCATCCCATTACTGGGTGTATACCCAAAGGATTACAAATCGTGCTGCTATAAAGACACATGCACACGTATGTTTATTGCGGCACTATTCACAATAGCAAAGACTTGGAACCAACCAAAATGTCCATCAATGATAGACTGGATTAAGAAAATGTGGCATATATACACCATGGAATACTATGCAGCCATAAAAAAGGACACGTTCATGTCCTTTGTAGGGACATGGTTGAAGCCGGAAACCATCATTCTGAGCAACTGTCGCAAGGACAGAAAACCAAACACCGCATGTTCTCACTCATAGGTGGGAATTGAACCATGAGAACGCTTGGACACAGGAAGGGTAACATCACACACCAGGGCCTGTCGTGGGATGGGGGGCTAGGGGAGGGATAGCATTAGGATAAATATCTAATGTAAATGATGAGTTAATGGGTGCAGCACACCAACATGGCACATGTATACATACGTAATAAACCTGCACATGGTGCACATGTACCCTAGAACTTAAAGTATAATAAAAGAAAAAAACAAAGCTGAATAACAGGACTGATTGATGAGAGTGTAGATAGATGTAGATAGACGCATCTCTTCTGGAGAGCATGCCAGTCATACTTGGTCAACCTAAGTATTCCATAGCTCTGAGCAACCATTCCACTGCGGAGTATATATCTTAAAGTCTCTGAGAGGTCCGCATGGAGATGAATACAAGAAGGTGCACTGCATTGTTGTTTGTGGTACCAGTGAGTTTGAGGCAAGCGAAATGTGACTGCATACCATGGAGTACTGTGCAGTCGTTAGCAGCAACAGACTAAACACACACATAGTGATTTGAATGGACCCTGAAACCACGTTATGCTGATTGTACAAAAAAAACTAGAGAAACCTATAACATACTCTTTCTGTGAACTAAATACATGCATACATGTCACAATATGTGAAGAATTTGTGCAAATACACATACACATTAAATATGTTAGAATATTTGTCTGTAGTAAGGAAGGAGGAGAAAGGAAGTGAGTCATGAGTATAAGAGGGAATAAATAAATAAAACAAGAGAGGGATCTTGCATGGACCAATGATGATAATGACCCATTAATGAGCTTGTAAGAATGAGTAGCTCAAACTTCTGTACCCGAGTTTACAAATAAATGAATAAAATATGATGTTGTCCTTTTTAAAAAAAATAAAAGCAATAAAACAAGCTTGGTTCTTTGACGAGATCAACAAAATTTACAAACCTTTATCTAGATGTCTAAGAAAAAAGACTAAAATTACTAAAATTGAGAAGGAAAGTGGACCATTTCTAACACTTCTACAGAAATAAAAAGGACTATGAGTATCATAAAAATTTTATGTTTACAAATTAAATAACCTAGTTGAAATGGGCAGATTTCTAGAAATACAAAACTTGCCAAGACTAGACGCTGACAGGGATGCAGTGAACAGGGAACACTTCTACACTGCTGGTAGGAATGTAAACCAGTACAGCCACCATGGAAAACAGTGTGGAGATTCCTTAAAGAAAGAACTAAAAGTAGAACTACCATTGGATCCAGCAATCCCACTACTGGGTATGTACCCAGAGGAAAAGTCATTATTCGAAAAAGATACTTGCACAAGCTTGTTTATAGCAGCGCAATTGCAAAATCGTGGAACCAATTCAAATGCCCTTCAATCAATGAGTGGTTAAAGAAACTGGTATACATATATGATGTAATACTACACAGCCATTAAAAGAAATGAATTAACAGCATTAGCCGTGACTTGAATGAGACTGGAGACGATTATTCTAAGTGAAGTAACTCAGGAAGGGAAAATCAAACATCGTATGTTCTCACTGATGTGTGGGAGCTAAGCTATGAGGACGCCAAGGCATAAGAATGATACGATGGACGTTGGGGAATTGGAAGGGAAAAGTGGGAGAGGGGCAAGCGATAAAAGACTACAAATATGGTGCAAACCAAAATCTCACAAATCATGTAATGAAATACCACCTGTACCCCAATAACGTATGGAAAAATAAAGTTTCAATAGACCTAAAATTATAAGATTAATTGAAATCTCCTGAAAGTTAAAAAAAAGCCTTAATATCAATCCTTTTAAAACTTTTCCAGGTCGGGTGTGGTGGCTCACACCTGAAATCCCTGCACTTTGAGAAGCTGAGGCAGGAGGATTCCTTGAGCCCAGGAGTTGAAGACCAGCCTGGGCAACATGGTGAGACCCTCTCTCTACAAAAAATACAGAAAATAGCTGGGAGTAGTGGTGCGTGCCTGTAGTCCCAGCTAACCCGGAGGCTGAGGTAAGAGAATCACTTGAGGCTGCAGTGAGCTTGATCATGCCGTTGCACTCCAGCCTGGGTGACAGAGTGAGACCCTGTTTCAAAAAGGAAAAAAAAAATTTTTTTCCAAAAAAGTTAGAGGAGAAAACACTTCCTCACTCATTCTATAAGGCCAGCATTATCAAAGCTGGACAGAAACATACTGCAAAAAAGTAAACTACAAACTAATATCTTTGATGAAAAAAATCCTTAAAAATGTATTATATACCATGATCAATGAGATTTATTTCTTGCATACAAGACTGATTCAACATAAAAAATGCCATCATTGTAATACAACAGATTAAGAAATGAAAGAATAAAAACCACATGATTATCCCAATTGATACAGAAAAAGCATGTTACAAATTCAACATGCTTTTATGATTAAAACACTCAACAAACTAGAATAAGAAGGAAACTGCCTCCACATAACAAATTATACATAAAAAATCCACAGCAAACATCATACTCAATGGAGAAAGAATGAAAGTTTTCTGTCTAAGACCAGGACCAAGGCAAAGATGATCACTAGTACACTGCTCTTTGACGTAGTTCTGAAGTTGTAGCCAGAGCAATTAGTAATTAAAAATAAAAACCAAAGGCCTCCAAATTATAAAAGAGTAAGTAAAATTACCTCTGTTTGCAGATGAGATAATCTTACATATAGAAAACCCTAAAGATTCCACCAAAAAACTGTGAGAACAAATTCAGTGAAATAGCAGGCTGATACAAGCTAATACACAAAAATCATGCTAACAATGAACAATCTGAAAAGGTAATTATAAAAATAATCATATTTACAATAGCATTAAAAGAATATAAATCTTAGGGTTTCACTTAAGGAGGTGAAATACTTGCCAAAATAAAACTGCAAAACATTACTGAAATAAAGAAGACTTAAATAGATAGAAACACACCCTGTGTTCCTGGAAAGACTTAATATTGTTAATATGTCAGTATCACCCAAACCAATCTATAGATTCAGTGCAATTTCTATCAAAATCCAGTGTTTTCTTTTTGTAGAAATAGATAAACCCATTCTAAAATTTATACGGAATTTTAAGGAAGCCCAAAGAGACAAAACAATGTTGGAAAAAAAAAAAAAAGCTGGAGGACTCACACTTTCTGATTTCAAAACTTAATATGAAGCTACAGTGTAGTACTGGCATAAAAACAGACATGTAGACCACTGGAATAGAATAGAGAGCCCAGAAATAAACCCTCACACATATGGTCAAATGATTTTTTGGCAAGGGTGTTAAGACCAAATGAGAAAAGAACAGTCTTTCAGGCAATGGTCTGGAAAAATTAGATATCCACATATAAAAAGAATAAAGTTGTACATGAACTTAATACTATATATAGAAATTAACTCAAAATGGATCAAACACCTAAATCTGTAAAATTATTAGAAGAAAACATGAACACATTATATTTGGCAATTATTTCTCAGGTATGACACCAAAGGCACAGTTAACAAAAAAGATAAATTTGATATCATGAAAAATTTTAAATGTGCATTAAAAGACAAAATCAATAGAGTAAAAAGGTGAACCACAGAATGAAAGAAAACATTTGCAAATCATATCTAACAAGGGATTAACATTCAGAATATATAGAGAAATTCCCAAAGTTAACAGCCACAAAAGCAAAGGACTTGAATAGACATTGCTCCAAAGAAAATACAAAAAACACATTTAAAGATGTTCAACATCATTAATCATTAGGGAAATGCAAATCAAAACTACAACATGATACCACCTGACACTCATTAGGATGGCTACTACCAAAACCAAAGAGAATAACAAATGTTAGGACGTGGAGAAATTGGAACACTTTTGCAAGAAATGTAAAATAGAATGGAAAACAGTATGGCAGTATCACAAAAAAATTAAAAATAGGATTACCATGTGATCCAGCAATTCTCCTTCAGTGAATTTACCCAAAAGACCTGAGAAAAGGATCCCAAAGAGATTTCTACACCCATGTTTATAACAGCATTATTCACAGTAGCTACAACATGAAAGTATCTTAAGCGTCCATCAGTAGATGAATGGATAAGCAAAATTGGCATATACATATGATGGAATGTTATTCAGCCTTAAAAAGGAATTTCTGACATATGCTTCGATATGAATAGTCCTTGAAGTCTTGATGCTAAGTAAGCAAACCAGTCACAAAAAGACAAATGCTGTATCATTCCACCTGTATGATACATTTAAAGTAGTCAAAATCATAGAGACAAAGTAGAATGGTGGTTTCCAGAGGATTGGGGGAAGGAGGAGGTATTGTTTAATAAGTATAGAATTGCAGTTTTATAAGATAAAAAGAATTATGGAGATGAATATTGGTGACAGTTTCAAAGTTATGAGTATATATAGTAACACTGAACTGTACAATTAAAATTGGTTACCATGGTAAATTTGTTATGTGAATTTTGCCATAATAAAAAATATTTGGAACTGGCCACAGTGGCTCAGGCCTGTAATCCCAGCACTTTAGGAGGCCGAGGCAGGTTGAGCACCTGAGGTCAGGAATTCAAGACCAGCCTGGCCGATACGGCAAAACCCCGTCTCTACTAAAAACACAAAAATTAGCCAGGCATGGTGGCAGACACCTGTAATCCCAGCCACTTGGGAGGCTGAGGCAGGAGAATCGCTTGAACCCAGGAGGTGGAGGTTACCGTGAGCTGAGATCCCACCACTTCACTCCAACCTGGATGACAAAAGTGAGACTCTGTCTCAAATATATATATATATATTTGTCTCGAATATATATATATATATATTTGTCTCAAATATATCTCAAATATATATATATGCTATATATATATATATAAATGCTATATATATATATATATAAATGCTATGAAAACATTACAGCTGAATGCAGTGTAAGGGCTAATAGCACTAGAATTACTGTTATTATAATGATTTGAAAATCAAATGTTTTGGAAAGTGTAGTTGATTGACCTTTCTTAAAAGTTGTTTATACAAGTCAAACAACTCAATAGGGCACTAGAAATGTTTCAACTTGAATTCGTCGAGAAGAATTTTGACTTATAGTAACTCTAAACATATTTAGTTGATACCGTAAATGACTTTCTTAAGTGCTTAGGTCCTCGTGCATTGCAAAGAACTTCTTATATAGGTTTATCCCAAATTTTAAAAATAATGGTGGCACATGACTTTCTCCACACACCTATATGATTTCAACATCATTAACAGTTTCTTTTTTTCTCCTATGGAGAAAAGCCCTAGAAGTAATACAAGTGGCTTTTGTTGAGATGGAGTCTTGCTCTGTTGCCCAGGCTAGAGTGCAGTGGCGTGATCTCAGCTCACTGCAACCTCTGCCTTCTGGGTTCAAGCAATTCTCCTGCCTCAGACTCCTGAGTAGCTGGGATTACATGCACTGATTACATGGCTAATTTTGGTATTTTTAGTAGAGATGGGGTTTTACCATGTTGGCCAGACCGGTCTCCAACTCCTGACCTCGTGATCTGCCCACCTCAGCTTCCAAAAGTGCTGGGATTACAGGCGTGAGCCACCGCACCTGGCCATTAAGTGATTGTTTTGAATGAGCTTTTCACTTTAGCCAGATACCTTAATGTAAAACAGGCATTAGAGTCACATAACACATTGCTTATTGCTTTCCAGAAGAGCTGGTTCCTTGCAAAATGGTGTGTTTGGTACACTATTGGTTTCTCTTTTTACAGTAGATGTCATCTAAGGGAGGGGAGACATGGTTCTGCTGTTACAGAAATCGTGCTGATTAGGAGCTCCTGTTCAATTTATCTACCTTTACAAATTAAGTGTGGGAATGTTTAGTACGGTGGAGTATAACACGTAATTCTTAAATACTAAGGGAACTCAGAAGTTTGTTCAGATGATTAACTATAACAATAATGTTCACTTATCTAATCCTCTGCAGACTATAATATGGAGGGTATTATATTTAACAACCCTCCTTATGATCTTAAAGAGAAAGTTGTCTAACTTAAGTACTTTAAATTATTGCATTACATTTGTTTTGCTCTTTAGCTATAGTAGTTTCATTTTTAGCTTTAGTAGTCTCATTTTCAGTTTTCCCATGATGCTGGAAACTACATTGCACAGATGTTTTCTCTCCCAAGTACTCAACAAGTAAGCGTATATTTAGCAACTGCACCATTCTCTTTAGCACTTCACTTCACCAGTTGAAGACCACCTTATCTGAACTGTGAAATGGAGAGGAAGTGACTGAAAAATCGTGTGAGACAAATCACAAAAAAACAGCAGGCAATTACAAGAGACATCTAGGAACAGGTAGTCAAATGCTTCATTTCATCCTAGGAACTTTTTGGTGTGCTAAGAGCAAGTGGCTAACTTGAAGAATAGATAACCTAATCTTAGCTTACTGTATTCAAGCACTCATGGGTGGTGGTGGGGGATATACTTACTATCCAGAATGGGGCAAATTGCAATCACAAGCTTTATTACAATTGAAAAGTTTGCATTTCTAACATTTCCACTATCTTTAATTTTTTCTTCTTTTGTTTTGACAATCCCTGTTAAATATTAGAAGTTAATACTTACACCAATTTAAATAACTATTTTATAGTAATAAATATTTTTAAATATTTATAAGTAAACATTAATACATATATTTAAGAGGGATTCTCAAAGCAATAAATTGTAAAGCCTAGTATTACTAGGTCATCATCTCTCATGAAACTTGGGCTGGTTGATCTAATTTACTCCTAGAATTTCAAATTACTGAATATCTCAAATCTTTTACTTTAAAATACAGCTATGTCCTTAACTTCAAACCATCTGCTGAACATGTAGATACCCTTGGAAACTGCAAGTGTAAGAATGAAGTGTTCTAAACCTTGGAGTGGAAGCCTTCAGCTGGGAGTCATTCCAATGGTCTACAGAGAGATGGTCAACATCAGAACCAGAGTAATAGCAGTGAAGATGTAAAGGAGAATATGAATGAAAAAATGTGCACCAGATTGAAATCTTATGACTTCAAAAATTCTCTTCTATTGGAAAAATGGAGAGGAAGAGGAAAGGGTCTATGATGACACACAAGTTTCTGACTTGGCAACCTGAATAGGTATAAGAAGTATCTTTTCTCTTTGTATAAGATGATAGAATAACTAATGAGAATAATTTCAGAGTTTGGGACTGAGATGTGTTGAGAACCTCCAGGTAAATATATCTGTTAAGGACTAGCATATGGGGCTTGAAGTCTAGGAGTGAATTCCAGACATGAATTGAAACCATGATCTTGGGAGATATAACCCTGTGAGAACATGTGGAAACATAATGAATAGAAAATACAATACAGAATCCCTTTTTTATTCCTTTGTAGTGATCATCTAGTTTGTTTTCAATTTGTTGCAACTGACTATATATTTCAAAATATATAGTCACTTTTTATATATGATTAGTAAAATGAATTAAAAATGATTTACATCAGACTTAGATGAGGTACCTCTTCTACCAATCTTTTATAGTCATTCAATATGGCGTTATAAGAAAAATGAGGTCATGTATGTACATACAGTTTAAATTGCTAGGTAGGGTTTGGGATCTAATTTCTGCCTATCAATTGCCTGGTTCAAATTTTACCAGGCCACTAGAATTAACATTCCCTTTATGTCCAGGGATTCAAATAAATCATTAATACCATCAGCAGACTTACTCAGGCATCTTCAGTATTACTGCCAAGGCACTTACCCATGCTAAGTAAGTCCCTTACCTGCAGAGAGGCAATGGCACTAGTTACATTAAATGCAAAGGAGGCTGCCTAAAAGATCTGAACGCATTCTTGTTCAGGCATGTAATCAATGTTTTTTTAATGCTGTTTCTAAAATGGATAAACAGATGTGGGTATCCCGGTAGCATTGGCTTTGTTTCTTCTATAAAATCGTTAAGAGCACTATCATCTATGATAGCATATCACTGCTCTTGAATAAATAGGCCCATTCAGGGCAATAAAAATAATCAGTACTTTTCTCATAACCATGCATGCACATGTTGCCCACCTTTCATTGAGCATTAGCTTCTACGGTGAGAAAAATGAGATTTATGGGCCATGATAGTTTCCTCTAAGGTTTGTGAATACACCAGGGATAATTAATACTCAATTTGATGAACTATGGACAATAAGGATTTCACACTTTTCAAAAGAGAATTTGCAAATATTCCAGGTAATTTACTTTAATGTTTTGCCTCTTCCAGATCTGTGGATTTAGTATCTTACTTGCCTTATCTTCTAACATTTGGATAAAGCTGACCACTTCTTCCTATTGACTACTCTGATTCCTTATATACAATTCTGATATTATAAGTAGCATACATATTATAACTGTTTTCTTTTCACTTTCCTCCTCTAGATTATGAATAGCTTAAAGAAGGGACTATGTCTTTCTTTTTAGTTCCCCGGCATAGAGAACGCAGCATAGAATAGGTGATAAATAGCGGTTTGTTAAAATAAAAAGGAAATACATGTTTCATGAAAAACTGAAAATAAAATTTATATTATTAAAAACTTATGTTAGATATTATCTCGGAAAAAATGGAACAGGTAGAAAAGTAAAACATGTTCAAACCTCAGAAATAGCAGCCAGTTCTAAACTATTTTATTGTTCATATTAATGTCATTTGAGGAAATCGTTTTGTTGCAAAGTGGTAAAAAGGAGTTTTAAAACATATTAATGAGACTATATTTTCTTCTTTTTTTTGGTCTTTAGTGTTCAGAAGTGTAACTAAAGGGGAGATGGAAGAATATCGGTATTTTATTCTGATATATGTAAAAATACTTTTAATCAACTGATTTTTGGACATAACTGAGCGAATTTTTCCAACAAAACTGGCTATGCTAAAGAACCCCAAATTACGGTGTTTTGGATGGCTAAAGAATGTGCTGAGATGTTGATTCCCTGGGCCATCAAGCTGGTGCATCCTCAGTGTGATTGGTAAATATTTATTTCTACAGAGTCCAAGACGTGAGAATGGTTTTGTGGCATAAAAGTCATGATGTCGACGTAAAACATTTTCTTGTGACTAGCAAAACATGTTAAATTGCATTGTCCATTTGTGTATGAAAAGAGAAAACCTTTAAAAATCTCTTCTGGGCATCATGTTTAGGCACAAAATTGGGAGTATTTGTTTTGCATGCATTTTATCTTCTTAATTATCTACTTACATGAAGTCATCTATACAATAGGTATTAGTGGAACTGGAGATTGATATCAGTATAATGGTCAAATAGCAGGTATAGAACTGTTATTTCAAGCAACACCTCAAGAAAGGCAGGTATGTGTGCAGGACAGAGCTCCGGGTGACCTTGGACTGACCCAGTTCTCTCCCCCTTTCTCATGTGAGGTTCTCAAACATAAACATAGAGAATATGCTGGCAGTGCAGCTTGCCGAGATAAGAAGGAACAGGCTCTATTCCTGCCCCTCCTGGAACAAGATGTCCTTCAGCATTTTAGCTTGGCAAATTATGTTATCCCTGGGATATAAAACCCAAGGTACACTGTTTTCAGCTGCAGTGCAGGTGGGGCACACATAAGATGCCAGACACCCTGGGCAGCTTTTCTGAGCTTCAGAAAAGCTCATCATGAATTCTAGGGCTCTGCTTCCCCTTACCGCCTATGTGTGAATAATAAAATTGCTTCACATAACTTGTATGAGTATTATGTCTCACCTGACTCATGCAAGTGATAAAAATTGCAGATCCAAATGCAGTGGACTGAAGTGTTAAGACTTCTCTTTCTCGTGATGGGCTTAGTGATGATATTTGCTATTCCCCATGCAGTGGGAATTTTTCCCAGCGGTTGGTAACCAGTGCACAGTTCACCTGCTTCACAATGCAGAGGAGGGGAAGCTGAAGGTTGAAGAACCAGAGGAGGTCATATTCAAGCAGAGGTCACAAGCACTGGGAAATTAGGACACCTTGCAATAGTATATAAATTCGAGGTTAGGACCCAATTATAGATTGCAAAATCAAAGATTTAATTCAGAGATCAGGGAGCTTGTTTTCAGTAACCAGTTATCAGGAAGGAGTCAGAAGTCTAGAAGAAAATTAACTGTGCCTGAAACAAAGAAGAGGCATATGAGGTCCAGAATTCAGATCTAGAGAACATGTCATAATGCTCAAAGTGCTGGCATAATCCAAAGGCAATGATGTTTTCTTCACACTTTCTGCCACGACAGGGTGAAGTCTCAGCAGGAGAAGGATCAAGGTTCATTCTTACATTCTTATATCCTACTATTTATTTAATTTGGTTCATCTTTAACCTCATTCTCTAATACTCACTTTCCTTATCTCTCTGGGATAGCCTCTTTGGACCAGTAGACTTTGAAGATGTCAAAGCATTCACATTTGCTGCTGCCTGCAAAACCTTGCCCCTAGACAGTTGCACTATTCATTTTCACATGGCCTCTGTTCTGACATCACCTCCTCAGTGATGTCTTTGCTAACAACCCTATGTAAAGTAGAACCAACACATTAGTCTTCAGCCCTTACTTGTTTCATTTCCAGTCATAGACCTTATCCCTATGATACTGCATTGAATCTTTATTTGCAAACAAACAGAAGCTCTATATAATGGATAATTTGTCTACTTCCCACCTATTCCCAGGAATATTCTTCTGGAAAGAAGACTAACACATTTATTTTTTTAAAGAAATAAATTAATAAACAAACATTTTAAGTAGAAGCTACAGCTAGCTGGAAATTTAAGTGAAAAAGAATTACAGATAATTGTGTGAGCTCATCAAGAGTCTGTTCATAAGTAGGACAGCCATTTGCCAGAGTTGAGAGAAGCAGTCTCATTATACAATTATAGTTCTAACAAGTTCTTGATAGTGCCCCTGTTTACACTCAAACTGTCATCGAAACTAGAGTAATCTAAGTAAAATATTTGGGAAAGCTTGCATGAGATAGGAGCAAGTAATAGGTGAGTTTTGACAATGTTATCACCTGAACACTTGTTTTGATTGGTTCTTTATCCACTGAAACTGTGCATGCCTCTATTAGAGGCCAATCTCTAAAGCAATAGCTATGAACTCAAATGCTTCAGGAGCCAGCCAGATGATTAAAATGTGTGGCATGGGCATCTGTGAAGACTGTATATGAAAAGCTAGATTTCTATGTCCTATGTTCTATGCTGTGCCATTTGTGTTGTCATGTTAAAACGCAGGCCTGGCCAGGCATGTGCCTGTAATCCCAGCTACTTGGGAGGTTGAGGCAGGATAATCCACTTGAACCCCGAGAGGTAGAAGTTGCAGTGAGCCAAGATCGGGCCATTGCTCTCCAGCCTGGGCGACAGAGTGAGACTCCATCTCAAAAAACAAAATGTAAGCCCAATCGTGTCATTCTTCCACATTCTAAAGAAAAACTATAAATCTAGATTTTATGTAAATTTTTTAAATGTTGACAACTAATCCAAACATTGTCAGATATCATGTCAGCAAAACAAATAACATCTTCTGCCAAGACACTGTCTCTGAGCTTCTCTTAAGCTCAAAATATTGTAAAATGTATTGGAGGTTCACTTCTCATGGCTAAAAAGAATTTAAATTTCTTTAGGATTTTCTGACAGGGTATGGTGCCTCATGCATGTAGTCCCAGCTACTCAGGAGGCTGAGGCAGGAGAATCAGTGAGTCAAGATTGCGCCACTGCACTCCAGCCTGGGCAATATAGCAAGACTCTGGATCCAAAAAATATATAAAATAAAAATGATTTTCTTTCTTATACTTATGAGCAACACAGAAATTTTTACCGCTTTCTTATTTTGTTTTGTTTCAATAAATTGTGAGAGAATTTGGCCAGAAACTTCTCTGCACATTCATGGAATATTGAACAGAAGAAAAATTCAAAAAGCAGTCTCAAGAGAGAAAATATAATGGATTTGGGATGTAGATGAAATATTGAAGATAAAGAGGAGCTAGAAAAGAAGAAAATAAATCAAGATGAAGCAACTATATAGGGAAAACAAACAAATTATTCAAGTGCTAATACTTTACTTTACTTTAAAAAGTTGCAATTTAAAATAACGATATGGTTTCCTAGTGGAAATAGAAGACTAAGTTACGGGAAACCAATTTGCTAAATTATAAGACTCCTGATGAGACCATTATCACTCTTATAAAATATACATTAATTATATGGAATCTGGTAGTTGCTCTAAAAGGTGAATAGTACAGGAACTGTCTTCTTTAAAAATTAAGAGTCAGATTCAAACTCTACCAATTTTCTTATCTGCTAGCTTAAGAGAAGTCAGGTTGATATCTAAACATTTATCAATATAACATATAATTAACAGAATTGTTATACTCTAAAATTATGACAGATTTGGACATTATCAACCAATATGGGAAAAATGAGATAAATTACAATAAAATATCATTGTATTAAATGGCATTTATGTAAATGTTAATTGCCTTGTAAACTGAATTACCTGATGTCAAAGAGATTCACACTGTCTGCTTTAAAGTGAGAGTTTGTGAAAAGGAGCTTCCGCCTTGGCTAATTAGGATGGTAATCTCAGAGGATAGAGTTGTGATGAGTGAGACTTGAGGTTTGAGAGAATCCTAGGGAGATGAGGTATTCAAATTGTTAGAAGAACATTAAGACATAAGGCGGAGAAAAGAAAGACAAAAAAGATAATGGAGAGGGGAAAAAACCCGAAAGAATAGTGGTCAGGGATGCTAAAGAAGAAAACACATAATGGAGAATTAGCCAGAGTATAAGACAAGAACAACTAGAGTTATGGTGGAATATAGAACATTTTATTCCTACATTTTGGAAACGCCAATGTGCTTTTGTTTATCTTATGACTGGAGAACAGTTTTGAACAGAGGTCAAAATCAGTGAACCAAACTCCATACAAAGCTGCAGAGACTGTGCTCCCAACCTAAAAAGAGAAATCTGGAGAAACAACAGAATTATAGAGATAATATCACAAGGTAACCAACTATTCTGAAATTTGAAAAGGAACAAACTGTTCCAAGAATAAAACAGGACCCAAAAACTGTTTCATCTGTGACTGACTAAATACAAGAGGAAGAGACATTTAAGTCTGCTGTCACTTGTAAGCTTCTGCCCAGAAGGGTAATCTGGGTGCTCAGAATAATAATTGCTGTCAAGTCAGGAAGCTGTACAGAATAGCCTTGGTGGAGCAAGCCTATAGTGATGATTGGTAGCTGCAAGGAGGGGTTGTCAGACACGAAGTCCTGCTTGCATCTTTTAAGGAAAATGCCTTAAGCAACTGGAAGAGTGGCAACAAGGCCACTTGGATACACAGGTAAAACCACTGGGTGAGGAGTAAAAAATTAATTCTTTACTCCTAAAAGAGAAAAGAAATCATTCTGAATATAAAATCCTAGAATACCAGGTGGAGATCTCCTAGTGAAATGAAAGAGTCGGGTAACTCCGAAGAAAGACCAGTGGCAAATTGTTGCAGACAAGGAAATGGGGAAGAAATATTGAGAAAACCCCATTACCAAGGTTCAGGCATATTGAGAGTTCCTGTGACAAAGGCTGGACTAGAACAGTAACAAAACATCCTTATCCCTAAAGGGGACAAGCATAGCACAGAGTACCAACTGATAGCTGCTTATCATTAAGAGGGAAACAAGAACACACAGAAGCCTGCTTGCAATGGCACTCAGTGATGGCTAAAAGCTAGGGGTAGATAACTGACAGGTGCTAGCCCACCACTGGAAGAATTTGAAGTCTATGATCTATGTAAGTAATCACAACAAAAGCAAAATTCAAAAGGAGCTTAAAAATCAATATTAACCATCTGATAGAAGAAAAGATGCTGAGATCTTCAAGTGTAAATTCTGCTTGCCTCAGTCTTAAGTGCCATACTCTTTACCCAGCATTCAGTAATTATCCAGCGTTACAAGACACATCAAAAGCAAGAAATAAAATTTATCATCAAAAGTCAAAACAATCAAAAGATCCAGATGCAGAGATGACCCAGGTATTGAAACTATTAGGTAAGGTATTTAATTATAAAATAATTATGATGAAAATGTAATAGATATAGTTTTAAAAAAAGGTAAAATATATAAACTGGTAGCAAACATCAGCAGAGAGAAAAACCGTAAATATCAAATGAAAATGGTAAAAATAAAAGATGACACAAGAGATGAAGAAATTCCTTGGTGGCCTCAGCAGTTAACTGATCTCAAGTTAACAGTCAACATGAAAATAGGTAAATAGACATTACCCAAACTGAAAAAGAGGTAAAAGAGTGAAAATAATATACAGAGCATTCAAGAAGTTTGAGACAGACAGTCTCAAAGGAACTAACCTAGGTATATTTGAATTCCTAGAATAAAAAGAGAGAAGAACCTGGCAGAAGAAATCGTTGAATATTCAACAACCAAAAATAAATAATGAAATACATCAAAACACATATCCAACAACCTCACCTCAAAATTATTCAAGCTGGAAGATGAAATATTCAGTCAGAATTTCCTCCAAGTTGAAGATAAAATAAAACATTTTTCAGATAAACAAAACTAAGAGAATTCATTGCCAGCAGATTTGTACTATAAACAATCCTCAGGCAGAAAGAATGTAATAGTCACAAATTTTAATCAATACAATGAGAGTTTCCAGAAATGCTAAGAATGAGGACTACTATAAGAGATAATTATTTCTTATTTTTAATCACTCAAAAAGATAAGTTACTAGATAAAAGCAATGATAGTAACAATGTATTATAGGTTTCAAAACATATAAAGATAAAATTCATTTAAAAATAGCTAAAAGGTAGAGAGGGAGGTATTGGAAATATTATGAAAGCTTATGGTATTCACGAAGTAGTATAATATTTTTAAGGTAGACCGTAAAACACTAGGAAAAACACTAAACTTTTCAAAATGGATAAAATTAATGAAGATAAAGTACAATAAAAATGTAAGTGAATCCAAAAGTGGCAAGAAAATTTAACAAAGTAACAATTACTAAATTGGGACAAATAGGGCACAAATAGAAAACTTAAATGCAAATCCTCCAATAATTTTAATGTGTCAAAACATATTAAAGGGCAGAGATTGTTAAATTGAATTAAGAAAGCAAGACTCTTTTACAATGTACTTTTACAAGAAACACTTTAGATGGTTTAAAAAGAAACCATAAATATAACTTTTAAACCATATAGATGGTTTTAAAAAGGATAGAAAACATAGGCCAAAAATCCCACTAATACAAAAGAATTTTACAACCTGTATTAATAGCAAATGATGTAGACTTCTGAGCAAAGAAGAGTGCCAGGGATAAATAGGGACATTACATAATAATGAAGGGACCAAATCATCAAGACGTAATCAAGGTAAATATGGATCAAACAACAGACTGTCAAAATACATACCGCTAAAACTGACAGAACTGAAAAAGAGACAATTTCGCAATTGGAGTTGGAAATTTTAATACTTCTCTCTTAGTATTTGACAAAACTAGTAGATGTAACATCATCTTATAAAAAGAAAGAATACTGGTCTTCCACAAACTCTTTTAGAAAATAGAGGACAACAGAACACTTCCAAACTCATCAGAAGTCAGTATTTACCCTGATGTCAAAGACAGACAAAGCCATCACAAAAAAATAATAACAACCCATATCCCTCATGAATACAGATACCAAAATTCTAAAGACTACATTAGCAAACTAAATCTAGCAACATCAAAACTATTAGACACCATGATCACATAGAATTAATCCCAAGAGAGCAAGACTGGTTTCACATCCAAAAATACCTTATTTTAATAAAATATAAACTCAAATGATCACTTGAACAGACATAAAGCATTAGACAAAATCTGTCACTCATTAATGATTAAAAACTTTTAACATAGTAGAAACTTACAAAAAACTCCTCATCTTGATAAAAAGAATGTACAGAAAAATCCTACAGATGATATCATACTTAATGGTGAAATGCTGAATGCTTTCCCATTCACATTGGGTGAAATAAAATGAAGATGCTTGCTCTCATTTCAACCTCATGCTGGCATCCTAGCCAGTGCAATAATGCAAGCAAAGGATTGGGTAGGAAGAAATAAAACTGTTTTAATTAACATGTGATAATATTGTCTAAAAAGAAAAACACAGAATTTATGAAAAGATATTTAACAAGTATTTTCACTGGATTTGAGGACGCAGTTCACATACAAAAAATCAATTATATTTCTATATACTAGCAATGAATTGGAAACTGAATTTAACAACAGTACCATCTTGAAAGACTACATACTGGATGATTACATTTATATGACATTCTAGAGAAGGCAAAACAATAGAGAAATCAATGGTATTCAAGGGCTTGCTGGAGGTTATAGAAGAGGGGCAAGGAACTTTTGGGAATGGTAGAAATATTATTTATCTTGATTGTGATGATACATGACTATAAAAGTTTATCAAAGATTTGCATGCTACATACTACAAGACATTAGTGAGCAAAATGAAGAAGACACATCAATGGAGATCTATGACCTATACATTGACGAGAAGACAGAATATGGCCACAATGCCAATCTATAAATAATTGTACACAGTCCTAGTTTTTGTAGATAGTGATGACAGCAAAAAAAGATTGGAAATAACCAAATTTTGAAAAAGAATAAAGTTGAAGATTTTATACTACTTGATTTCAATTAACCATAAAGCTAAAGTAATTAAGAAAGCATGGCATTTGCAAAAGAATACACATATAAATTAATTGGATGGACTGGAGAGTCCAGAATTAATCCCAGCCATACATATCACTTAGGTAGTTTAATATAGAAGTGATAGGCTTGTCAATAAATGGTGCTATGCTGTTTGGACACTCATATACAGGAACACTGACCTCAACACATATCTCATACCATGTGCCAAAAAATAACCCCAAATAAATATAAATCTAAACATAAAACCTAGTGGTATAATACTTTGTTACGTAGAGTTAGGGAAAGATTAAGACCCTAAGAGGATAAACCACAAAAATATGACAAATTGGACTTTATCATAATCTAAAACATCCATTCTTTGAATTAATATGCCACAGACATAGAGAAAACAAAATACGTATCTGTTAAAGGATTTGTCTCAATAATATATAGAGAACTCCGGAAACTCACTCAATAATGAGTACACAACACAATAAAAAATGTGCATACTATTTGAATATAGCCAAGTAGTCTACCAAAGAAGAAATACAGGTGGTAAATATGCACATGAGCTCAACACCAGTAGACATTAATAAAATGCATATTAAAGTTACAAAGAGCTCCTTACTAATCTAATAGCATAGCTAGAAAAATACAAAACAAAGCCTGACATACCAAATGCTGGTGATGATGTGAAGCAAATACAACTCTCACACATTACTGATAAAAATTCAATAAGGTACTGTCACCTTGGGAAACAGTTTGGGAGTTTCTTATATTTAAACATATACTTAAGATACAGCAATCCTACTCCTAGTATTTATCTGGAGAAGGGAAGATCTATGTCCACCAAAAATCCTACATATGAATTATATAGAAGCTTTATTCATAATCACAAACAATCTAAAATCTATCCATTGGTGAAGTGATAATTTATGATGTATCCATACAATGGAACACTACTCAGTAATAAAAATGAATCAACTGTTGATACATGCAATATTATGCATGAATTTTAAAACCATTATGCTGAGTGAAACAAGTCAAATTCTATCTACTGTATGATTCAATTTATGTGACATTCTAGGGAAAGCAAAACAATAGAGGAGGAAATCAGTCGTATTCAAGGGCTTGTTGGAGGTGATAGGAGGGAGACAAGGGAAATGTAGGGATGATAGAAATATTCTTTTATCTTGATTGTGGTAATACATGACTATAAAAGTTTATCAATTTTATAAAACTGTACTCAAAATGGGTGAATTTTACTATATGTAAACTATACAGCAATAAACAGAAGCGAGTCTATGGATGAGCCCATTTTTTCAAGCACAAAGAAAGATTATATTAAAGAAATAAAAGCTTGGCCTTGGCTTTTGGGAAAAGTAAGAGAGACTCACAAGAGAAAGGTTATGGCCAGAGATGGATTCAAACTAGGAAGAAGTATTTGGCTCTTTGTCTCAGCAAAGCTAGTGGACATAATGCAAATTTGAGCTGTAACTTACTTCAAGGGCTTATGATTGTGGAAAGCATTCAGAGAACAATTCAATATTTGACAGATCTTCAGTGAAAGGAAGGAGTAAGAGGTTGCAAGCAAAGACCTTGATTTGTATCTTTGGGAGAAAAGTCTCCCTCATTTGTCCTCCAGCCTATTTAAGTCCATTGAACAGAAAGGGTGTTCTTTTCATTCACTTCCAAGACACAGGACATGCTAGTTTCCTAGGGCTACTATAACAAAGTGCCACAAGAGGATGGTTTAAACAACAAAGTTATCGTCTCACAGTTCTGAAGGCTAAAAATCGAAAATCAAGGTGTTGGCAGGCCATATTCCCTCTAAAAACTATAGAGGAATTTTTCCTTGCCTCTTCCCAGCTTGTGCTGTTTTGCTGGAAATCTTTGGTGTTCCTGGCTTGCAGCTGCATAACTGCAAAGCAATCTGCCTTTGTCATTTCATGGTTCTCTCTGTCTGCCTGTGTTTTCACGTGGCTTCTTTATAAAGATACCAGTCATATTGGCTTTATAAAGATACCAGTCATATGGGCTTAGGGGCCCACTGTACTTACAGTATAACCTCAACTTAATTAATTATATTTGTAGCAAGCCTTTTTCCAAATGTCATTCTGAGGTATTGGCAGCAGGAGTGGGGAGGGTTAGGACATCTCTCTTTCTGTCTCCCTCCATATAGATAGATAGATAGATAGATAGATAGATAGATAGATAGATAGATAGATAGATAATTTGATGTGTTTAATAGCTCTGTGGGTAGATTAAGCACTGAGATCTTGTATTCTGCTATATTGCTAACATTACTCCTTACAATTAACAAATTCTAAGGAGAAATTGAAAAAATTGACAAACTTCCAGGCAAAAAATGTTATTTACAAAGAAAAACCACAAGGCATCAGATTTCTTGTTAGTCCTTGATGGTTTACCACTTTGTATTTCCTGAGTGCTGTATGACCATGCCTACCTCCCACTGCAACATACTTAAATCTATAAAATTAATTTTCTGGAAATGAGATTGTATCACTTTGTAGTCTGGTACCTATAACTTTACTATATTTATTATAGGATTTTAATAATTAGGATTTAAGCAAATATTTATTCCCAACTCCAAACAGAATATGTTAGCATGAAATCAAGCATTGAAGGAATGTATCAGCACATGCTCCATCTGAGAGAAATACTTAGAAAGCAACATATGTCAGAAATAGACACGTGGTGTTAAGCAAAGAGCACTGCAACGCCTATGAAGTCAAATCAATACGTACTTAGTAAGCTATCTAGAAATGTGTGACCTAAGTACCAAAGGATACTTAAGGATTCCTTAAGTATAAGAAACCCACTATCAAGTAAATATTGTTAATACAGCTTAGCATTTGGTAGAGAGGGTAGGTGTGGTTGGAAAAAGGAGACCAAGTAAAACAATCCCAAATGTCTCATGTTTCAAGGAGGAGTAGAATGGATATAAAAATATTTGAAAAGTTTCAGTCTATTAGCAGGAAAATATTGATCGTGGATAGCTTGGATATCTTGATTTCATGTAATCATAAAGCAATGTGTTTTTAATAATGGATATTGAGATTAGGAACACAATAATTAATTTATTAAAACATTTATTGGAGTTATAAAATTAATAAATAGAAAAGGAAATGAGTAGCAATTTGATCAAGCCAGAAAAAATAAAGATAAACCAACACAAAATGAATAACAACCATTAATAAATCATTCATCAGTGAAGTATCTAGTCATTGAGAGTCCTGGTAAATAGGACTAATTCTCCTGGCAATAACAACTAAGGAGAGTCAAGCCAGAAAAAAGGAGGAAAAGATAAACCATAAACCAACATAAAATGAATAACAACCATTAATAAATAACAATTCATCAGTACAGTGTCTAGTCATTGACAATCCTAGTAAATAGGACTAATTCCCCTGGTAATAACCACTAAGGAGGCTTGACAAAAGCACCTTTTAAAAAGTTCAGAGACCTTACAGGAGACTCACAAATTATCAGGATGAGAACAGAAAAAGGACTATTGCTCAGAGGTGAGCCAGAATTGTTTTTGCCTCAGGGGCACACACTCAAATATAAGTCCTGGCTAACGACCAGAGGTATACAATGCATGTGTCTCAGTCCTGAGCCTCTACTTCCTGTGTACCCGAAACATTGATACTTTTGCCCTGAGACCATTTTCTAACTTTTTGAAAGTCATTGAGAGTCTTAATTGCTCTATGGGGCAGAAAGAATGAGGTCTGTAGTTTGGTGCCTACCAAAGACAAAGACACCAGTATAACAGTCATGCTCTGAACTGGTACCCTGGAGAACTATTTTCTGAAATGATGGTACAGTCTATGCTCTGGCTAGTATTCTAGTTAAACCATAAAACCCTCAGCCCTTGGTTCTCAGCCTGCTACTGCCCTCATATGTCTTATAACAAAGGGCAAAATTCTCCCTTGAAGAAGCTAACACTATTCCCAGATTTGAAATTATTTCTAAAAATATTTTTCTAACAATATACCCAGAATACATTACAAATTATACATGATGATTAAACAAAATTAGCCAGAAACTAGAGAAGGAGATGCAAAGGCACTCCAGATAATGGAATTTTCAGACACAGGCTAACAATAACGATCTCTATTTCAAAGATAATAATCAAACTTGAAAAAAATTAGCAAAGGAACTGAAAATTATGACAAATAACATTAAAGCATCAAAAAAGAAATTGTAGAAATAACTGAAATTAAGAACAACTGATTGAGTATTTAACAAGAGATGTGACAAGATGCAGATAAATTTGTGAACTAAAAGGTAAAAAGAAACTACACAAAATTAAATATTAGAAAAAAAGATAAAAAGGCCGGGCACGGTGGCTCACGCTTGTAATCCCAGCACTTTGGGACGCCGAGCCGGGCGGATAACGACGTCAGGAGATTGAGACCATCCTGGCTAACACGGTAAAACCCTGTCTCTACTAAAAATACAAAAAATTAGCCGGGCGTAGTGGCGGGCGCCAGTAGTCTCAGCTACTCAGGAGGCTGAGGCAGGAGAATGGCGTGAACCCGGGAGGCGGAGCTTGCAGTGAGCGGAGATCGCCACTGCACTCCAGCCTGGGTGACAGAGCGAGACTCTTGTCTCAAAAAAAAAAAAAAAAAAAAAAAAAAGATAAAAAATACAGGAGGGAAATTGACATTCCTTTTACAGTTAGAAAATCTAAAAGGCATTGAAATGGAGTCCCAGAGGATGAGAGAGAATGCAGAAGCAATATTTGAAGAGAAAATGGCTAGGGATTTCTAATAACTAAATAATTCACCAATTCACAGATTCAAGGAGGATATATTTAAATATATGATGTGTTTGTGTGTGTTTTAAAAATACACAAAGACATAATAAACTTGATAAAACCCAAGACAATTAGGAGTCTTAAAAGTAGTGGAACAAAAGATAAGTTGCCCTAAGAAAAAATGACAAACAGCTGACTTCTCTCTACTACCATTTGAAGCTAGGAGACAATTAAGACATATCTTTAAGCTGATAGAAAGTAACTGATAAGCTAGAATTCTCTACCCTGCGAGAGTACTCGTAAATAATGAAGGAAAAATACAGATATTTTTGGATTGATAAAACAAAATCTAGAGCAAAAACAAAAAACAAAATCTAGAGAAAAAACAAAATCTTTTCACTGGATAAAGTAAAATTTAAAAAACACATATTTAAACATTGTTTTTGAATATCCCATTTGATTTAGGAATTTTTTAAATAAAAATCTGACAGTTACAACAGATATGAACTATTAACAATGAAAATATTTGGGGGAAGAGGTGAGTCTCTATTGATAACAACCATCTTTGCTCTAGTTCCTCCTGTTCTGAACTATTTTGGGGGAGAAGAAGGAAGTTTAAGAGATGCTTTTCCAAAATAGCTCCCACTAGCCAACTTCCCATGAAACTTACCTTCAGCTAAATATACCTATTTGATTTTGAGTTTGAATGTAGTATGTTCAGGATATTATGAATGAGGGAAACTTCAGAACATCTGTTTTACCAATATCATTTCAAAGGGACTAAAAACTGGATATTTTTCAAAAATCACACAATGCAACATACCTTTCCAATATTCTATATTAGAATATCTGAAGATGGGGTCCATAAATCAAATGTTTCTAAAAATCTTCAAGTATTTCTTATCAATCCAGCACTAGATTGTGAACAAGTATTTGGGAACCACAGTTCCAGATGCATTTCTAACAATTTACAATTCCAAAGCTCTTACTAGTTTAGAATGGTTCCACTGATTTTCATCCAATTTAACGAACATGTATTAAGCATATTTTACATGTCAAGGTTAGTGCTTGTTAGGGGCTTAAAAGAAGAAGCAAACAAGATTATTGCCCCGAAGGAGCTTTCAGCTTAATTGAAAGAAAGATTAATAGGTTAATTACATACCTATAAAGGTTATGATGAGTGAAAGCATGGAATAGGAGAAAGTAGGGGAAGAGATGGAGTCAAGAATATATGGAGGAGATAGCACCTGATAAATCTTGAAGGGTGAATGTGTGATTAGTTGAATGAGAAGGAGAGATCAGGGAGAACTGTAAAAGATGAAATTTCAAGACACTGAGAACAATATTAAAAACATGCTATTTTTAAAAAAATTATACTACTTTACAGTCCCATAAATTTGGGAGTGAGCCAACTTACTCCAATAAAGATCCTGAGATATTCCATCTTGAATCAAGAAATTAACCCATACCGAGGATTCATGAAACTCTGTGCATTTGGCTATACATGGTGAATTTAAACTTTGGAGCCTTTTCAACTGTAATCTTTTGTTTAACTACTCTCCTCTCATCTATCTTGAAACCATTCTCTCTTGATTACAGCCAATATGAAGACTCAGAGACATTTTTAAGCCCAATAGGTAACGAAAGGATACAAATAATGATGATGATAATGATGCTAAAAACGACCTCACACATGAACAACATTGCCAACTTCTGCCACTCTGATTAGAGCCTGGATGGAAGACCCAGACGGATGGGAGGAACTTGAAAAGGTATTGGAATGGGACCCAACAGAGTCTAAATCTGACAAGTCTCAAACAAACACTGAAGGAAGTCAAAAACAGGACATTAACAATTTTCAGTCTACAGGCTAAATGATTTATGTGTTTATTAAGTTCTCTCTTACAGTGGTTAGAATGAAGCTATGACACTAGAGACTTGCATTTTCAGTGCTACAGAGGAGGTCGTTGCTGTTGCTATGGTTTCCATGATGTGGATGCTATAAACCCATGGAGCCGCACCAGTATACGACTATGCAACTCTGCTGCAGCATGTCAAAATTACTTTTTGCTGTGTTTTACTTTGAGCACTAGAAAACTGTAAACCGACAATCACAAATCACAGGAATTATAAAATAACTTCCACTATTCTTATATTCATATTACAATTTTTTACCTACATTAGGAGAGAGCTACAGAACTTAATATTCCACTAAGGTAGGTGTTTTCACATGTTCTACATCTTCCTTGATTCAATTTCAATCTTTGGCCCACTTCAGGGTGCACAAGTATTAATAGCAAGGAAAATGTTAGCAATATTTCATGTTCTGTTGGAATCTGACCAAATATGATTCTTCATTGTAACACTGACAGATTTGAGTATATTATGTTCTTCCCAATAGAAATCATGGTATAATAAATGGGAACTTTATATCAGTATTAGGTTTACCAATAATTCATTAGAGTTTAATATTATAAGTAAGAGCAACAGTGCTAGTTTGCATTATTTTTCCGAATGCTTAAATAAGTATAACATTTGTGTTGTCTGTTACTGCCTCATTTCGTTTGCCATAAAAGTGACCCTTGGAGGAATAAAACAGATCCACACAATAGCTCAGAATTGCTGGTAGTATTAATCACTGTTTAGTATTGTGACTCTTATTCGTAGTAAATAGCCCAGCTGTTTAGCCAAATGTTTTTAACCTAGACCAAATAATTTTTAAATACATGTTATGGTTTCTTTTTAGAGTCTCTATTGTATTCATAGTTATGCTATTTCTAGCATCCGTATTATTTCTTTGCAACTGACCAATGACATTAATCCTTCAATGACCTTTGTGTACTTTAATTCAATGAACATTCTTTAAAAAACTGCTATGAAACTCATATGTTAGGTTCTCTGGAGCACACACACACTCATGTCAATATACTATACCCTCAAAAAAGTTTATGACCTAGTTAGGAAAAAAAATGCTTAACTCTTCAATACAAAGTAGAATATTATTTAATGTTTAAAACATTATGCGTTGTAATATATTATCCAGTCTTGTGCATTGTAAACTTGGTTAGAGTAATGCTGTGTTTAGAAAGTACCTGGAGTACTGAGAAGAAAAGGCAATGATTTGGGAACTCATGGGCTAGTGATACCAGCCCTGTGAACTCTTCATTGACCCATAAACCTCCAAATTATGCCAGAGAAAAAAGGTCTTTCAGTCAATCCTAAGCTCATATTATTATTTTTTATTTTGGATAAAATGTGTGCTACAGTGCTTGAGTTTTCTATCTGTTGGTCATCTGTCTTCTGAAGCCAGTATTACTCATCTCTGACCCTAAAGCCTTAGCAGGGCCATAGGTCACTTTATAATATGCTCTCAGATGGTTGGCCTCTTTCTGGCCCTGTGGCTTTCATTCTGCATGTACTTCTAATTGTACTATGCAACATGTAGAGGTGTATTTCTTTACAGGTGGGAGTAACTAAGCTGCAATAAGGCACACAAGCCAACCTCCTAATGATCTCTTTTCTATTAAAACCATGTTGTTAAATATAATACTTGTGAAAATAGAAATATGAATTATCATTCCTTGGTACAATTTTAGAATATTTGACGAATCAATAAACAAGAAAACTCCACTTAGAAAGACCTGAAACCTCAATCCTATGTACATTCTTAAGATGGCATTACACATAGAAATGATCTAAAATGCCTCAAGTATTATTTCATTCAGATTTTTCTGCACACATGATCTATTCCATCATCAATAAATAAGAGAAAGTTCTATGATACCTAATGCCAGGTCTAAGACCCTACAAAGTCTCTGGTTTTGTCATCCAAGAAGTGCTGTGTCAGTAAAAGTATCCAATTTTGGCTGAATTGTTCTTCATGCATAACTGACTTTTATGGAAATTACAGAAAGTTTAGTAAGTGTGGATCAGAGTGCACAGCCTGAGCTGGTATGGCCTCATTGTGCCCGCAGGACATGCTGGGAAACCTGAATAATTTGCATTGTCAGAATTCCTGGAGTATCTACTTTCTGGGTTCCTTTGGCAGCTAGATGGAAGAATAAGAGCCAGAGTTGGGACAGTATTTTAATGGATTCATATTTATGCCATTACATAATGATCAATTTGTTATTTATTGCTTAACCAGAGCAATAATTAGGAAAATCTAGAATCTCTACGAGCCTCATCAGAAGATATATTAAATAATGCGTTGGGATAACCTTTCTGTACTCATAGGAGGCTTCAACCCTCCTACATATGTATTTAAAATAAACTGAAGTCATTAGTTACATAAGCATCTATCTGAAAATGCTGTAGACCCCGTCATGTGTCCTCAGCATGGCACTAGTGATTCCTGTGTTTCCTGCTATCAATCAAGGGGCCTACTGTCTCATTGGGTAGTTAGTACTGGATTTGAATTTTTATAGCATCTGTGATGAATGTTTATACCAAACAGAAGGAAGTCAATGAGTTAAAGGTAAAAGAAAAGACTCAGTGATGAAGATGCCATCCTAAGTTATCCAGACCCCCAAAATGTACTGAACCTACACAGAAGACCCAAAACTTAGAAACTTTTTTTTCAAAAATAGACATCCAAAAATTGGAATAATGGCAATTAACATTATTTAAGAGTCAGTATTGTAAATCAATTAACACTGAATTCAACAGTCATCTGCTGAGATGGAAATTCCATTGCTATAAGCTACTGGACCTCTCTGTGCTTGAGATTCTTCACTCTGCATATGAAAATTAACTGAATTGTAATATGTAAACTGCACAGTATAGTTTCTGGCCCAGATAAATTGTTTTTATTGTTAATTGAACACTTACTTTGTGCCCGTCATGATTTTAATCAATTTACATGTTTTATTTCAGTCAACAGTTGCAAAGACCCTATGAGGTTTACATGAGAAACCAGAATATAGAAATAAAGCAGCTTTCCAAAAAGCTTAATTTAACTTTATTAAGTAACAATTTGGACTAAGGCAGTTTGACTGTGGAGTCGATGCTTTTAACCAGTGTACCATGCTGCCCAAGCTTTCTGACCTACATCACTTCTCCTTATTGAGTACCACTCTTTCCTAAGGAAAATGTTGCTGCAAAATATAAAACAATTAGTTCTTACAGATGCGATTGTCATTGGTGGTGTGCTTATCAAAATTTCAGTTTTGATTGTGAAATTAAAAATTTCAGTTTTAAATTGTGAAGACACAATTTAAAACGGGTAACAAAATCAAGAGAACATATATGCAGTACTGGAAGTATATCCTTGATAATTGTATCTGAACACACAGGTAAAATTAGGGTTTTTTTAATTCAGATATGGAACATTCTCAACCAGTCCCCCTCATCCCATTATATGTCTCCTTCTCCCACAAACACACAAGTTTACTTTCTCACATTCCAACAATAGAATGGAATGTTTAAAATGTATTTTGTATAAAAGTTGGGGATGGCCTAGAATTCAACCAATAAATGCTCATACAACATTAGATTTGTGCCACTTCATAGTTGCTCCCCTATTCCAAGTCATAAAAATAACTTCAGATATGAACTTCAAAATGTATACTATTAGTAAGAAACTGCTCTAATTATAGAGTATCTTAGAGGACAACTCGATGGGGATCCTTTATATCGTCCCAAGAGTATTTCTTCACAATAAAATTTATGTAATCACTTGAATAGCCTTTTAGTTATATCTGAGAATACAAAGACCACCAAGTTGTTTAAACTATAATGTTCCAAAGAATAGACAGTAATTCTATTTTACCAGCTATAGTATTCCTACTTTTTAAAGTAAATAGATAACTGAGATTACTAAGCACTCAGACTTCGAATTTAGTTACGGTAAGAAGTCTGGAGTATTAGATAAATTTGATTCAATGTAAGTCAGATGAATAGAACCTTTGAATCAGTTTGTGGACAGGATAGTATTATCAATCTATGTAATTTCAATTATTTTGGAATTGCAGAAGATATTTTTTACTTTTAGCTAATCTTTCCTATTAGATTATATTGGGCCAAAGACACTGAAGCTAGCTGATGTGGAGTTAAAGATATAAACCTGACAAAAGCTAGCCAGTTGTGAACTCATCAACCCTTCCTTTTACTGACTCATGCTCTAGTTTCTCATTGCATGATGATAACCCAAAGCCAAAGAGAGTAGTTAATTATGTTACTGACATTAAAAATTGAATCAAAGGAGACTTTGAGAAAGTTAATTGTGACACTCCTGTACCAGAAGAATAAACCAGTACTCATGCTTAATTAAAATATAACATATGTTACTGCAAACCTAAATTAAAAGCTTTTCATAAAACTAAATTTAAGCCATTATTTGTTACTCCAAGGCATACTTTTGCAATCAGTTTATAAGATATCCTATAGTTCTCACCATCATTCTAACAGCAGGAACTGAGACATGTTTCTGTGGTTTCTCATTTATTTTTGCTCAAGCAACAGAAACTTAAGAAATTTAAAACTTTTTAATGATATCATTACAATATAAATTAAAATAATAGCTAACATTTTTAGAGCTTACTCCATGCCAGAGATCATTCTAAGAACCTCCAATCTTTGAGATACATGCCATTATTATTCCCATTTCCCAGAGGAAAATCTAAGAGCTAAGTAACTTGCCGAAGAGCATACAATTAGTATGCTGCAATCTGCCTCCTGAAATAGTGTCTTATCCACTATGATAAACTCATAAGACTACTGTCTTTTTTATACTTTACTTTGAGTCCAAACATCGAAGTGGCTAAACTCAGCTTCCAAGGGGAGTACCCATCCAAGTTTATGGCCTCCTCAATTCCACTGGTCTTCATCTCAACTATCTAACATTTCAGCTGTCTTCCCTTTTGGGTACACCCTAGATCTACTGTCCCCTAAAATTCCTCTACATCTAAAAATCCTAAAACATTTCTGAATCATGATCTCTCGATTTTTCTCACTCTGTTATTTACACTATACAAGTTCTTTAGCCAGTCCTGAATTTTTGCTATGTTCCTATTTATTTGCTTTTCAGTCACTGAATTTTCTTTCCTTGTTCATCCTATTCCTTATGATCAGTAACCTCTAATAACTTTTTACTCCTTTTCTTTCCCTTTGTTATCCCAATAAAACTTTACCTGTGGAGTAATTCAGAATTTTCTTGAATACCAAACTGATTATGCCACATGCAAGCTTAACAGTGATTAATAGTTCCACATTTCCTTCTGGATAAAATACAGACTTGTTAACATGGCACCTAGTACCAGATCCGGCTGAATATTAACTTATTAAGTAAATGAATGAAACTTCTATAGAATGTTTTCTCTTTCATGCATGCCTTGAAAAGTTCACTTGTGTATTTCTATAGCAGTCCTTACTTATGCTTCTTATAGTACTTTTATGATTGTCAATTTACTTGTTTGGCTTCCATACTTGGGTTTTAAATTCCTTAAAATCAAGGACAGCATCACTGATTATTTTATTTCCAGCATATAGTATGATTCCTTGTACCCAGTATGTTCTAAAGTATTGAGTATATGAATGAATAGACAGTTGTTCCTGCTAGGGATCAGAAAGCAAATTTAGAGTGTTGTGTAGGGGGTTCATTTCTTGAGTATTGATCGCAATTGATTTTTGTCTAATTAGGTAGAGACTCGTATTCATCAGAATTGCAAGGGACATCAATTCTTAAGAGAAAGGGTGCCAAGTCAAGGAATTACACTTTCCAGGGGGTTAAAAATGGCTTAGAGCCATGTGTAAGGACTTTTGTGTGCAAGTAACATGATGTAGAGAATGTATAAATGAATGGAGAACAGCATGACTGTGGGCTGCTGCGTATGGCTGGATGGATGGTACACGGCACAATTCTACAGACAGTTTTCCAAATAGATAATGATGTGCACAGATCTACCTGAATGTATGTAGTTTTGCAATCCTAATTGTAAAAAATTTCACTGGAGAGAATAAAATATTCTTAGTTGAAACCATGGATGAGAAATCTTGGAGAAAGATAGAATATTTTTAGGAAGTCTTCTTACGTGATGTATTGTGTAAAACTCCTGTGACACACTTCAGGATATAGTAAAATTTTATGATATTCTTCACAGCTTTCAGATTCAGACATATTTCTTTCAATGGAACATGCTGACCCACAAGAGCTCTGGAATTTATGTGAGTTACACTTATCTGGACAATTTGATAATAAGCATTTGAATAATTATTACAAAGGTAGTTTGAGACATCAGATTTTTTTCTTAAAACACAAATATCACCTCATTAGAAAAGCTCTACCTAAAATGCTTTGGTATCCACTTACCCATTCAATAAACATGTACTGAGTGACCAATACGTGGAAGGCAATATATTGAATACTTTGAGGCAACAGATGGTAGATTAGAGATAGTTGTTATATTGCTAAACAAGTTTAATAATCTAGTGGGGGAGATGGAACATGTTTATAAGCAACTATTATAATTTCAATCAGGATAGGTGCCATAAGGGATAAATAAACCAAGAAGTATGGGGAAATCAGCAGAAAAGAAGTTCCAGACATACTGAGGAGGTTTTATGGAGATAATATCTGAGCTTTATCTTGAATGGTGGAATTAGGCCAGGCAGAAATGGGAGAAAAATGCCATCCAGGGCACCTGACTCGTAGAATCAAATAACTTTTCACTGCAGGGAACAGAAAATGGCCCACACTGAGATCTCAGTAACTGCTTTTATCATCAAAGATCGACTATTCCCTCATCAACCCCAAATGAACTGATTTCAGTGTTGACTTGAATGATTTTAGTTGACGAATGATTCAACATATAGGACACAAATATTTACAGAGTTATTGGAAATCTAGACCTTATTTTATCAGAGGAATGTTTAAGATACTGATTATTCAAGGTTGGGGAACTGAAAGCACAAATGAGTTTGCCCTGGGTTAGTAATATAAAAATAAATAAAAGCTGCTTTAAAGAAAAAGAAAGGAGAGAGAGAAAATGGATTGGAGTGTGTTTTATCTATTGTATCTTTAAATATATAACCAGAAGAAGAATAAATCATAGAATACCTCTAGGCAAGAAAAATAAAATGAAAATTTGTTGGTATAAAATAATTCCTCTGGCTTACAATTTCAAAGGGAAAATAAACCCTTCAGCCATTGAAATCCAGCATATCTTGGTAAGTAGAGACAAGCATAAAGCAGCTCATATCGTAAAATTTGTAACAGTGCTAGAAAGAGATTTTCACCTCAATGGAAAGGTAAATAGATGTACACACACACTTAAGAAAAAAGAAGAGAGAGATCCCATAGCCAGTAAACAGATTGAGTATAATGACAAGGAGTGAGCACTATTTACCATGACGTATATGAAAATATAAATGAGATCATCATCAAACTGAAAAATATAGTGTGGTTTACACAAAGTGTGTGCATTTTGTTGGCTGATATTATTGAATTGTTCTTCATGAGAGAATCGTGTGTTTATATAGCATACATACCATTTGAAATAGGTATCCATCTGCTTCAGCTGCATCAAAGTATTATATCTTTCCCAGGATGGTGACCAACTAGCAAAACATATTGACCTAACCACCTTATTCATTCTAGGCTACCCCTGTGCTGACTGCGGAGTAGTGAGGAAGGAATAGCTAGGATCCCGTGATCAACCTAAGACGTCTTCAAAGCATACTAACCTTTAACTTTAAAAATCAAAGTTTGTATGTATATATAGTCATAAGATGCAGTAATTCTCCCTTAATTCAAGGTTTTGTTTTCTTTGGTTTTAGTTACCTTTGGTCAACCACAGTCTGAAAATATTAGATGGGAAATCACAGAAATAAGCAATTCATAAGTTCTAAATTACACGCCATTTTTAGTAGCATGATGAAATCTTGTGCCATCCCTCTCTGTCCCACCTGGGACATGATTCATCCCTTTGCCTAGCATATCCACACCGTAGATGCTACTTGCCTATTAGTCACTAAGGAGCCTGGTTGTTAGATCAATTGCTACAGTGCGATGCTTGTACAAAAGTAACCCTTATTTTACCTGATGATGGCCCCAAACTGTAAGAGTAGTGATGCTGGCAATTCGGATACACTAAAGAGAAGCTATAAAGTGCTTTAAGTGAAAAGGTAAATGTTCTCAATTTAATAAGGAAAAAAATCATATGCTGAGGTTGTTAAGGTCTGCAGTAAGAACGAATTTTCTATCTCTGAAATTATAAAGGAGGAGAAATAAATTCAGGAGGAATTAGAAGGAGAAATGCTGGCTACTTTTGCCATCACACCTCAAACTACAAAAGTTATGGCCACAGCGTGAGATGAGTGCTTAGTTAAGATAGAAAAGACATTAAATTTGAAGGTAGAAGGCAAACAGAAATGTGTTCAATTGACAGCACTTGGGTTTGGTACTATTTATAGTTCCAGGTACCTGCTGAGGGTCTTGAAACATATTTCCTGTGGATAAAGGGAGACTACTCTGAGTCTAAGCAGTTGAAAAAAGGTCTTTTGTATTCTTTGTAGACAAGTCACTCTCCAATCTTTGCCTGAGAAAATCACAGTGCTTGTAAAAAGATGATGTGCATACCTTACAGAGAAAAGAAGGTCGATGGAGAGATCTAGAGCCATTCTGAGTTGAGCTTGCTTTCAAGTACCCCACTTTTTGAAATCAGCTTTATTGAAGTATGATTTACAAAAATAAATGCACTCCTTTTAAGTGTAAAAGTCAAGTGCCCCATGTAATGTGAAGACTTCTGAGCAATTACTTTTAACCGCTGTCTTAGTCCATTTGGGCTGCTACAGCAAAACACTATTGACTAGGTAGGTGACTTATAAACAACAGAAATATATTTCTCACAATTCTGTCAGCTGGGGAATCCAAGATCAGGGTGCCAGCATGGTCAGTTTCTGGTGAGAATCCACTTTCTGCTTCATAGATGACTGTCTCTTCACTTTAGTCTCTCATGGCAGAGTAGGGCAAGAGAACTCCCTGGAGCCTCTTTTATATGGGCACTAATCCCATTCATTAGAGTGGAGCCCTCATAACCTAACCACTTCCCACATGTCCCACCTCCATATAACATCACATTGGGCATTAGGTTTCAATGCATAAATTTTGGAGGAATACAAATATTCAGTCTGTAGCAACCACTGTTCATCTATGGTTGGTACCTTTAGGTTTATATCAGCAGAAAGGGCATGGAAGGGAACTGGAATGTACTAAACACCTAATTCTTACCTTATGGCTTCATATCTATTTTATCTTCCTAAGAAAAATCTTGTGAAAGCAGCATTATTATTTCCATTTTGAACATTAAAACAAACAGAGTGCAAGAATGCGTGAATAATTTGTCCAAGTTTACCCAGATAGCACAGTGGTACAGGGCATGACTTGAATCCAGATCTGTCTAGCTTTAAAAAATCATTGCTTTTTATTTATGGCCTATTACTCTCTGTTGACACCAAGGCTACCACATCCACCCATAAGCATTCTCCTCAGTCCTCAAAGAGGCTAAATTCTCAAAGGGCCTAAGCAGGGAGTGAGAATGGGACAGCAGGAATTCCTTGGTGAAGAGACTTAGGAAGAGGCAATACAGTAGATGACCACCATCAGAGTACCAAATGGACAAGCTGAATCTATTCCCCATGACCAATCATCCTATGTCAGAGGAAGATGAGTTACAGAAATAGGCCAAAGAAAAATATTTAAATAATATAAAACTCAGACATTTAAATATAGAGATTTGAATGTATCCATATTTAATGTGACTCAGACTTAAGAAGCTAATGTCTGCAAGGGAATTCAGATTTCTCTCTTCCGAGCTACATTTTGTATTAACTAGTACATTTTAGCAGCTTTTCAATCACTTTTACGTTACAGTGTTATAGGCTGAATTAATAACATAGTCACGGGGTAGATATTTAATTACTAATAGAACTCTAAGAATTTGGATAAAGGGACCTTGATTTTATGCTACAATTTTCTAAAACAAAATACAATGAATTATCATTCATCTACAATGACACAAAAAGCTGAAGCCCTGAGATGTGCTCAGTTTCCATGTTTTCTTTCCACTTTAAATTGAATATAAACCTCAATTTTAGGTTTTCAACGAAGACAAGTGTAACACAATTTTGAGTATCTTACTATTAGGGCATCAAACATTTCAGCCACTCCCTAGGCCCAGATAACTATGTATATTTCCAAACCAATACTCCTCAAGTTTGCCTGTCTTTACCTATCTGATGTAATATGGATCCTCAAAAATCAGTTCGTTTCAACATACTTCTGTAATTATATAATGTCTTTCCAACTAGACTATAGCTCCATAAGTTCAGAAACCACATCTATTTTACAGGAATAATTTACCAGACAAGCAAGCTATATTGTAAGAATATCTTGAGTAACAAATTTGCACCTGAGTTTTACATGACTGTGAAACAACTTTCAAACCAGACAATCCTAGCACTTCAATATTGCCCAAGGACTAAGAAACTAAATAGAATTTCTGAAAGGTTATAAACTTTGGCAGGAATGAAGGAAATAGAGGAATTGATAGGAGTGGACTCCTTGTCCTTCTCAGAGGTGACCAGTCCCTCATCAGTGTTACAGTTGGACTTACTGGAGACCAGCCAGAGCACAGTGCTTTTTATCGCCAACTGGGTAATTGCATCGGTGAGACCTTGGGTACAGTTACAGCAAAAAAGTCTGAAAAAACAAGCTAGACCTCTACTAAGAATGAACTGCCTAGGGTAAGGTCCCTTTGTCCTTTGACACAAAGTAACTTAATTTTGTTGAATCTACAACAAAACAACCCAGCTGGGATTTGATTCAGATGTTCTTTCCATTTTAAATTGAATGTAAACCTCAATTTTAGGTTTTCCATGAAGACAAGCATAACACAATTTTGACTATCTTACTATTGGGGCATCAAACATTTCAGCCGCTCCCTAGGCCCAATTTATTTTCAAGTGGGATTTGATTCATCAAAATCCCAGCTGGGTTGTTTGATTTGCTTTGTTTGCAAAAATAGAGAAACTGATAATAAAACGTATAAGAAATGCAAGTGATCCAGTATACTCAAAACAATCTTGAAAAAAGAAAAAAGAACAGAACCCAGATGCAGATTCAAACTTGCAAATTTCACGGTTACTACCAAGTTATAATAATCAAGATAGTGTGGTACTGGCATAAAGATAGATATGTAGATCAATGGAATAGAATTGAGGGTTCAGAAATAAACCCACACATTGATGAACAGTTGATTTTTGACAAGATTGTCAAAACAATTCAATGGAAAAAGGATAATCTCTTCAACAAATATGATGGAACAACTGGATATGCACATAAAAAAGAATGGATTTGGAACCCACCTCAATCATACAAAAACTTAACTACAAATAGATAACAAATTGAACTTTAAGAACAAATAACTAAAACTCCTAAAAATTAAACAGGAGCAAATCATTGTGACCCTGGGTTAGGCAATGGTTTATTAGATATGACTCAAAAAGCAAAAGTGACAAGAGAAAAATTGATGAATTGAACTTCATTAAAATTAAAACTTTTATCTAGCAACCATTAAGAAAGAAAAAAAACTGGCAGAATGGGAGAAAATATAATTGACATATTTGACAAGGGACTTTTATCTAGAATACCTAAAAAACCTGTACAACTCAGCAATATAATGACAACCAATTAGAAAATAGGCAATGGTTTTGAAAAGACATTTCTCTGAAGATACACAAAGAATCAAAAAACACATTAAAAAGATTCTTAACCTCAATAATAATTAGGAAAATGCAAATCAAACCACACTGAGATACACTAAGGTGGCTAAAATATATAAAGGACAATATAAGTGTTGACAGCTCCCATATGTTCCATAAGTTCCCTTATGACCTAGCAATTCTACTCCTGAGTATATACCCACAATAAATGAAAACATATATCTATGTATTAACTCAAAAGTGAATGTTCATAGTAGCATTATTTATAATAGCCGAAGAGTAAAACCAACCAAAATGGTCATTAATGAACAGATGAGTAAAATGTGGTATAATCCTACATCAAAGAGTATTAAGCAATAAAAAAGTACCAACACACGTGACAGCATGGATGAACCTTGAAAACATCATGTTAAGGGAAAGAAGCCAGTCACAGAGGACCAAATATTGTATTGTATGGTTCCATTTATGTGAAATGTCCAGACTAGGCAAATCCGTAGAGACAGAAAGCAGATTAGCAGTTGCCTGAGGCTGGAAGTGGGGGAGTGGAGAAGGGGAATGGGGACTGACTGCTAATGTGCACAGGGTTTTGTTTTGGAGTGTTGTCGGAGAGTCAAAAATGTTCTAAAATTATATTGTAGTGATGGTGTACAACCCAGTATGTTCCAAAACACCGAACTGTATCTTTTTAATCGGTACATTTTATGGTATATGAAATACATCTCAATAAAGTCCACTGAGGTGTAGAGATATACCTGAAATTGATTTCAATATGCTGTTTGGGATGTTTGTTTGGACTCTGAAATAACAGTGCCTAGGTTTGGATCATGGCTCTGCCGTATACTAGCTTTGTGACCTTAGGTGCTTAATGTCCCTGTGCCTCAGGTTCCTATATATTGATGTTGTGTTAAGAATCAACTGAGTTAATGTATAGAGACTCTTAAAATAGTGTGCAACACAGATTTAGTGAAACTAAATAATTGTGGTGATGATGTTTTTCCTGATGAGATCATCTGAAACTTCCATTAAAATCCCAAAAATGTTTGTGATTTTCACTGCTTAATGACAGCACCAGGATTTTCTTTCTCTTTCTTTCTTTCTTTCCTTCCTTTCTTCCTTCCTTCTTTTCTTCTTTCTTTCTTTCTTTCTTTCCTCTTTCCTTCCTCTTTCTCTCTCTCTCTTTCTTTCGTGTGTTTTGTTTTGTTTTGTTTTTTGGTAGGGGCAAGGTCTCACTATGTTGTTGAGAATAGTTTCAAACTCCTGGGCTCAAGCAATCCTCCTACCTTGGCCTCCCAAAGTGCCGGGTTTATGGGCATGAGCCACACTGCCAGGCCCCAGGGAGTTTTCTTTAGTTATTGATATAAGAACTAAATATAGGAAACACAGTGCTCTTCATGTAAATTAAAAATCCACTTCCCTTATAAAAAGAAACTAAACATGCAGTTACCCATATAACCCAGCAATTACATTTTCAAGCGTTTATCCCTCAAAATGAAAACTATGTTCACACAAAAAATCTGTACAAGAATGTTTATAATAGCTTTATTTGTAATATCCAAGACTTGGAATCACCCAAAATGTCCTTCAACAGGTGAAATAACTGTGGTATATTCATGCCATCGACTACCACTTAGCAATTAAAAGGAATGACCTACTGAAACACACGACAGCAGTGTCACCCAACATGAATAAATCTCTAGGGAATTATGTAGCATAAAAACACCTCAATCTCAAAAGATTAAATACTATATAATTCCTGTTATACAAAATTTTGAAATGACAACATTTAAGAGAGGACAGATCGGTGAGTGACATGATTTGTGGATGGGAACAGAGAGTGGGTGTGTGTGGTAATTAAAGGGCAAGAGAAGGGATTTTGTGGCATGGGAACTATTTGTTACCTTTACACTGGTAATGGATACATGAACCTATACATGTGACAAAGCTGTATAGAGCTTAATCTACACAAAAGTACAGAGAAAACTGAGGAAATCTGAATAAAATCATTGATTGTATCAATGTTAACGTTGTATTATACTATAGTTTTTTGCAAAGAACTATCATTAGGAAAAAGTGGAAAAGTACACAAGAAATCTATTATTTTGCAACAGCATGTGAATCTACATCATTTTAATAAAAATTTTATTTAAAATATCTAGTTATCTCCTCCAATAAGTCTGGGTGGGTAACACTTCTGTCTACCTTTCCTGATTACAAGCTATACCTACCTACCATCTTGTGAAAGGGAAATAAATCTCGCAACCCCAAAATTACTAAGCCAAAGGGAAAATCAAGCTGGGAACTACACTGGGCAAAACTGTCTCCCATTCCATTCCTAAATAAGATAGCTACAAAGATTTTAAAAGCTACATACTGCCCTCACAATTTGCCCATGAGGAAATTCCCTGTGGACAAAGGAAAGACAGAGCTCAAAGTCATCCCTCTGCTCAATGTGAGACAAATGCATATCTGATTGCCTCTTTTGCCCTACTGTTTCACTAAGCCAGACTAAGGTATCAGTGACTTTTCCTATAAATTGTATATTCTGTGAAAGGCTAATCAAAAACTCAAAGTAATGCAACCCTTTGTCTCTTATCTACCTATGACCTGGAAGCCCCCTCCCCGCTTTGAGCTATCCCGCCTTTCCGGATCAAACCAATGAACGTCTTACATATATTGAGTGATGTTTCATGTCTCCCTAAAATGTATAAAACCAAGCTGTGCCCCAACCACCATGAACACATGTCAGGACCCCCTGAGGCTGGGTCAGGGGCACATCCCTGACCTTGGCAAGATATACTTTCTAAATTGACTGAGACCTGTCTCAGATATAGATTGTGGGTTCACAATCTCTAGTCCTAGTCTTCATTACTTCACTTGTATTGAATCCCTTCAGCACAGGTAAGCTTTGAAAATTTTGTTTTTCTTGATAAAGTTTACTTTTCCCAGTCAAACTGTGAATCCATTTAAAGCACAGCACCATCACTTAACCTGGATTTTATGCCCATGACTTACTTTCCCTAAAGAGATACGTCAATGCTCCATGAATTATGCAAATAATGACTATTAATTTTATCAGTCAGATATTCTAATGGCTAAAATTTGTCAGGAAGAAAAAATTGTGTTTGTATGTTTTGCAAATGTAATAATTAAGCTCCACCCAGTTTGCTCTAAACAAACTGTTCTTTCTAGATATTAGCACCAAAAATAAAAAGACTGTGATCAAAGGAGGTGAGATGCAGGCTTTTTATTTTCTTTTTTCCTGAGACAGGGTCTTACTCTGTCACTCAGGCCAGAATGCAGTGGTAGGATCATGGCTCACTGTAACTTCAATCTCCCCACCTCAAGCAATACTCTCGCCTTAGGCTCCCCAGTAGCTGGAAATGCAGGCGTGTACCACCTTGCCCAGGCAATTTTTTTTTTAATTTTTTGTAGAGACAGGGGTTTCACTTTATTGCCCAGCCTTGTCTTTAACTCCTGGGCTCAAGCGATGCTCCTGCCTCAGCCTCCCAAAGTGTTGGCATTATAGGCATGCACTCCTGCTCCCAGCCCTTTTTCTAATTTTAAACACCTATCGGCATTTTTTAGCTTGATATATATTTTCCAGTGATATCATTGTAAATTAACAGTTCTTGTAATTTTAAATCACAATGACCATTCCAAGTACTTTTTTCCTGAATTCATGGCAAAGTAGTGTCCTTATTATCTCTGGAGAACTGGACATTCTTCATTCTATAATGATGATTCTGAAATGATGTCATTATAGTGAGTCTACAAGCCTCAAAATCTGTTTTTCTGATGATTCAGAAAAAAAAAATGGCTAGAGTTGACTGTCTAGTAAATACGAGAGAAATAATAACAGATCTTGATTTTAAAGTATGCTAGTCCAACAGATTTTTTCAGAAAATGTGAAAACAGTAGACCGAAATATGTATTGATAGGATGGGCCACATTCAGCTACGGGAACAGAGAGAAAATATATCAGCTAATTGTGTTAAACCAATAAATTCTCCTCACAGAAAGGGCCTTTCATGCTGTCAGCCAACCCTATTACTAAAAGCGGTATTTAAAATTTCTGCAAGCAGTACTTTCGCATTGACAAGAAGTATATTCTTGAAAACTGAGAGAGATACTACTTTCTATTCAAATTATAATTTCTGTTCTATGTGGTGGATTGTGAAAACTGGAATAAGCCAAAAATTTCCTTACATTCTTCTAGTTTTGTTATAGAATATTGTGAATTTTATTTTTTGAAGTATTATATTTAGCTTCTTTCCATTTTTGTTTCCACACAAAGGGAAAAATTATGCTAACTTCATCTTCCTGGCAAGAATTTATTATTTCTCTCAATACTGCTGGAGTTTCGAACATGAGCCTAGGTGACCTATATCATAGCACTGGGTTGTTCAACATGAGATATATCTTGTTGCACACTGGTTCATCTAAAAATTAAAAAGCAATGTCATTCTAGTCTTCTGTTGTGGTCTTTGTGTGAGTAATGTATGTTATGGCTTATTGCCTATGGGGTGGGCCTGTACAACCCCCTCTGAAAATATGGCATCTGTGACAAAAACACGGTTCATCTAGTCCTTTTTATGGAACAACCTGGCGTCTGAAAATGACTGAATAAAGAACCCATGGAGTACATAAAATTGTTCTTTTTTTATGACTTTAATAAAGTGATGATATATAGCAGCTTCTGTCAACAGAAAATAAAGTTAGACAATGTTAGAAAATCCTATGTGGAACAAAAGAATACTCTGTCCCCAGCAGCTCTGTGAGGTTTGCTGGTGGATGCTCCCAGCATGCCAACTTGGCCTCAGCAAACTGGGGTCCTGTCAGTTTGCTCTACTTATTCAGCTTACCTTGAAGAAGACACATGAACAAAGTCGGTGTATCCCAAAATGGTGTTAAGAATTGAAATTAATAAAATCTGACACAGCCCAACAAGGACAAGAATTTGGGTCCTTATGCATGTACTTATGCTATTGAGGCTTAAGCTCTTTAATGAATGAGGTGTTTAGTTTTCAAGTCCACCCTTCCAGGGCAATAGGGAAGCAGTTTCCATCAGCAACTGATTAGTTGTTTTATTATTATCATGATTATCGTCATCATTTTCTTGTTTTAAATACACTATGCTAATGAATGAAACATGTCAACTGCAAATCAGGTGGTTCTGGGCTTTATTCCTCTGAAGATATGAAGTCCTGCGCATAGGAACCATGTTTGTTTTATCCACTGCTGTAGCCCCCATGATGCCTGAAATCTACGGAGCACACAGTGTACTGGACTTGCTGAATGTGAGTTTCTTTGTTGGGGCAGTGTATTTATTTTGTTTATTTCATTTTGTTTCTTCCTTTTCATTGATATTCATGGTTCAGACTCTCTCTGGCGGTGGTTCTCTTTTCATTACCTAAGATGTGCAAGTATTTTAAGATGAGGAAGATAAAAGTGACCCTGTCAAATTGCCGGCTTTACATTGGCAGAAATTATGTCATTTCCTTTGTCAACCCCTCTCTTCACGAGTAGTTGGGTGGTGACCTCCAGACTCTCTTTAGTTAGTACATAAATTAAAGCAAAGATATCATTTTGAGCCAGAATAATATAAACATTGTGGCTGCATGAGCTGTCTAGTCCCCAGCAGAATGCTATGCATATGACATTATAATTCTGTATTTTTGAAAAGATCCTTGACTAGTGTTTTATGCCTATCCTCACCCAAATTCTTCTCAACTGGACCTGAAATTTGTTAAATTGAAGAATATGGTTGTCTCATGTTATTTTTCCATCTGGCTTTTAAAATTGCTTTTGGAGGAAGGAACATCTGTTATTACACATCTCAGTCTTCAACAGTTAAATAATCAGATCACTACTGGGATGTTTTCTTTCTTGGACTCATCGTCTGTCCTGGGAACTCTTATAGCTTTTATAATCAGCTATATAAGCTGTTCTGTTGGAAGCTGCATTCTGCCAAGGGTAAATGAACTGGGTCCACAAAGTTTAGTGCTTGATTAAATTTTTTTTTTCTTTAGCTCATGAGTTATTGCAGGTTCTAAACTTAGCAAAATGCCTCTCTTGAAACCCAATATGAATATTAATGTAAGACGGACTTGGAGTGCCAAAGCAGTTGAGAGTGGGTCAGGTACTTTCTAGATGCTGGAACATTTGCATATATTTCAGTTGAACTATGAAATGTCTTTACATGAATTTTTTGTCAGAGTCTTTTATTAAAAGGAAGATGTAGTTATATCTGTATTGGCTAAATCTCACACAATCCATGTTGTCCAGTTTTCAGAACCATCCAACAAGTGGCTTTATATGACTCAAATTACAAGAACAAGTGAGAGTTGATACTGAGGAAAATATTATGTAATAGATAGGCAAATTCATTCATTCATTCAACAAATATTTATTCTCTCCTATGAGTTAGATGCCAGGATAGAGGCCCCCTCCATGAGCTGTACTGTGAAGTGGAAAACAAACATTGTTATCACACAAATACATAACTATGAATAGTGAGACTTATGTTGTAAAGCTTTCTAGTTGCCTATTCTGTCTTCTGTTTCTTCCTCTGTAACAGGTCCGTACATTATCAGCAATATATTCAGCTAAAAAGCTATATGTGTATAGTTTTTTTTTCCAGTAACAATATTAGTATTTTTTGACTAGCATCATGGCAGTGAAGATAGAGAAGTCTGTAGATTTGAATGAAAGAAAAGGAGTGAAAGAAATTAAGCAAATAGTAAACAAATTATATTACATTCTCTTGCTTTTTAAATAAATATTCATGTCTTATTTATTTTTTCCTTATAAACAGAATAACAAATTTGTTCAAGAATTTACCCTTCATCAAAGGGGATTCCATCTTTATGTCAGAAGTAAATGTTTATTGGTTGAAACCAGTTATTATAATTGAAACCACCTTTGCAAAATTATAACTGAGGAAATTACGACAGTGAAAGAAATCAGACCTAACCGACTCCATCTTGCTTCTAACCTTTAAGCTGTCCTTGTTCATTCCTGGGCACAGCATTCCTGGGCGTAGGCCGAACTAACTTTGGGAAGGAATTATTTGTACATACACACACACACACACACACACACATATACACACACACACATATATATACACATATATAGATAATGGTGCTCAAATAATTGCATATATATGTATATACACACACATATATATACACGTACATATTTGCAAAGAGGCGTGGATAAAAGACTTTCTTGAAGAGATAGATGGCTGAAAGAAGTTAGAAGTTCGGCAGGGCATGGTGGCTTAGACCTGTAATCTCAGCACTTTGGGAGGCCAAGGCAGGCAGATCACTTGAGGTCAAGAGTTCGAAACTAGCCTGGCCGACATGGTGAAACCCCGTCTCTACTAAAAATGCAAAAATTCGCCAGGCGTTGTGGTGGGTGCCTGTAATCCCAGCTACTTGGGAGGCTGAGGCAGGAGAATCACTTGCACCCAGAAGACGGAGGTTGCGGTGAGCCAAGATCACACCACTAAACTCCAGCCTGAGTAACAGAGTAAGACTCCATCCAAAAAAAAAAGAAGTTAGCAGAAGCTATTGGTTATTGGGTGGGGTTTTTGGAAAAATTCTTTACAGGGGTAGGATTTTGCTGGGAGCTCAAAATTTAGCTTCTGACCTTACCTCTTCTCCTCCCTGTTGCCTGGAACAGAGACAACTATGGAAGGCTAGAGCTGCAAGGTCAATCTTGTGACAAATCATTGACCCTGAGGATGAATGTCAGCTGCTAAGGATTGTGGAGGATCTTGGCCCTCTAAGGGTTTGCTAAAAATCACTGACTTGAGGCAAATTGATTAATAGGAGAAAAGATATACAAATGTATTTAACACGGATAATGGCAGTCTTCAGAATGAAGAACCAACTTTTCAATGAGTTATAGAAATTTATATGCCGTCCTGAGGCCACAATAAAGAATGCAGACTCAGAGCATGGCCAGGAACAGGTTATGTTGGTTAATCAGGTTTAGCGGCAAGACAGGTTAAGAGAGAGAGAAAGGAAGAAACTTGGCTAGCAAAGGTGGTCTTGCTATGTAGATGGAACCTCCCTCAGAGAGAACAGATGGTAATTGTTTCTTTTTGGACTTTTATAGATGTCAGACTCTCAATCTCTCCTGAATCTGGGAAGGGGATAGGAAGGGGAGGGGCATAGCTGCATTAATGGAGATTCTCTACAGATGCAAATTGTCCACCCCCTCCCCACCAACACACACACACACACACACACACACACACACACACACACAAACAGCTTTGCATGGCCACTTCTGCACTTCTGTTTGCTGGCTAAAGGGCCGCCATTTAATAATATGTCAAAGAAATATATTTGGGGTAAAATATATTACTTTCCTTCTGGATGATGGAACAGAATAAAAGAAAAGCCTGAGTTCTTGATGACATGGAGCTGCTATAGCTGTCCTGATTGGCTTACTTCTGACTTTTTTTATACAAGGGAAAAATAAAACTCTATTTTGTATAAGCCACTCTTATTTGTATTTTTTTCTTAGATGTAGATAAACCTCAGCTTTACTGAAGCAAATAGTTTTAAGGACCTGTGTTGGAGTAGAGGCTGGATCTAGAATGGAGACTCAGAGAAAGTTCTCTGTGGAAACAATGCTTGAATTGAGCTCTGACTTAGATGGGGTGGGTAAGGAAGATAAAAGAAAGGAAAAGAGAGGAGTTTTTCAGAAAGAGAACATGTGCAAGACCCTCGAGATAGAACTAAGAGAATTAGGCGTGTTCCAGGAGGGGAAAAAAAAAAAGATTAGTGTGCTTGGAACACAGAAGGTTAGACTGAGAGTGACCCAAGTTGCTATTTAAGATTTCAGCTCATTGTATAGCGGATTTTTTATAATTCATAGGTCTTACACAACTGAAGCTTTATACCCATTGAACAGCAAGTTAGCAATACTGTATGGTACATTTAAAAATGTATTAATAGGAGAGATCTCATGTTAAGTTTAATTGCCATGATAAAAATAAATAAGATTTAAGCATAGATATAATTATATTCCACACATACATACACGTAGGCACACACATACACACACAGTAGCACACCATTTATAACGTGGAAGATACATCAGAGGAAGTAACAGTGTAGGCAGGGAGACCAGTTAAGAGTCTACTACAGAAGTCGAGAGAAGAGATTTGTCAGAGGCATGTGAACCAGAGTGACACCATCCTGAATAGGGGCTGGGTAAAATAAGGATGAGACCTACTGGGCTGCACTCTCAGGATGTTAGCCATTCTTAGTCACAAGATGATAGGAGGTCAGCACAAAATGTAGGTCCCAAAGACCTTCCTGATCAAAAAGGATGTAGTAAAGAAGCCAGCCAAAACCATCAAACCAAGGTGGCGATAAAAGTGGCCTCTGGTCATTCTCATGGCTTATTATGTTAATTATGACCTCTGGTGTTTCTCACTGCTAATTATAATTCATCAGCATGCTAAAAGAAGCTCCCACCAGTGCCATGACAGTTTACAAATGCCATAGCAATGTCAGGAAGTTACTCTATGTGGTCTAAAAGGAGGAGGAACCCTCAGTTTCAGGAATTGGCCACCCCTTTCCTGGAAAACTCACGAATAATCTACTCCTTGCTTAGCATATAATCAAAAAATAACTGTAAGTGTATTCAGTCGAGCAGCTCACACCACCGCTCTGACTATAGAGTAGCCATTCTTTATTCCTCTACTTTCTTAATAAACTTATGAACTTGCTCTGAATTCTTTCTTGTGCAAGGTCCAGGAACCCTCTCTTGGGCCTGGATTGGGGCTCCTTTCCAGTAACAATATTGATATTTTCTGCTAGCATCATGACAGTGAACATCAAGAAAAGTCTGTGGATTTGAATAGAAGTGAAAGAAATGAAGCAAACAGTAAACTGAATTATATTACGTTCCACTGCTTTTTAAAGAAATATTCATGTCTCACTCATTTTTCCCTTATAAACAGAATAACGAATTTGTTCAATAATTCATCCTTCATTGAGGGGGAGTCTATCCTTACGTCAGAAGTAACTCGTGATTAGTTGAAACCAGTTATTATAATCTCAATCCTATTACTAGTGATTTGATTTAGGCATGAACAGATGAGTTAATTCTGAGCAATGAGAATTAAATGAAATTTGCCAGGGAATTTGAGAAATTTTTTTTTTCCTTTAGAAGAAAGAAAAAATTCACACAGAAAGAAATACTGTCTTCTTCCTCTGGGTATTTTCACATCAGAATATGCTACCTGGAATGCTGGCAGCCACTTTGCAACCATGAGGGGAGCAAACCTGAGAACAAAGTTAACACATCAGAGAGATCAGAGTAGAGCGATAGAGAAAGCCTCACCTTCTATTTACCTACCTACAGACTTCTTGTTATATGAGACAATAACCTAAACCCCAATGTTTAAGCTAGTTGAATTGGGTTTTTTTGTTAATGGCAACCAATTTGATCCTACATGATCTACATTTCAAGCATTAGTAGCTGTTAATTTTAAATTTAGCATCAACATAACACCAATCATTTCATAGAAGATAGCTTGATTATTAATATACTAAGATTAAGATCTGTAACCTGTATTTCCCACTTCTCTTTTATAATGGAGAGTAAAGTTTTCATTTACTCAATTTAAAAATTAATAATGAAAGGAGGGTGACTAATAGTTTGATATCCAAAAGTAGAAATCAAATTGACCAGTCCAAATTTAGAGAAACTGTCTGGCAAAGCAGAAGCAAACAGGGTAAGGAAAGATATTATAGAGTTAAGAAATTTTAGAAAAAAAGGGCTTGATTTTTGTTTATGACCTTGAGAAGACTGAGTATGTAACTGCCTAACGTATTCTTCCTGCCCACTGCACAGACAAAGCCAATTCATGGATACCATGGCATTGCAATAAAGAAAAAGTTCATACTAAATGGGCAAAAACTGGAAGCATTCCCTTTGAAAACTGGCACAAGACAAGGATGCCCTCTCTCACCACTCCTATTCAACATAGTATTGAAAGTTCTGGCCAGGGCAATCAGGCAAGAGAAAGAAATAAAGGGTATTCAAATAGGAAGAGAGAAAGTCAAATTGTCCTGTTGATGACATGATTGTATATTTAGAAAACCCCACTGTCTCAGCCCAAAATATCCTTAAGCTGATAAGCAACTTTAGCAAAGTCTCAGGATACAAAATCAATGTGCAAAAATCACAAGCATTCCTATACACCAATAACAGACAAACAGAGAGCCAAATCATGAGTGAACTCCCATTCACAATTGCTACAAAGAGAATAAAATACCTAGGAATCCAACTTACAAGGGATGTGAAGGACCTCTTCAAGGAGAACTACAAACCACTGCTCAAGAAAATAAGAGAGGACACAAACAAATGGAAAAACATTCCATGCTCATGGATAGAAAGATTCAATATCGTGGAAATGGCCATACTACCCAAAGTAGTTTATAGATTCAATTTTATCCCCATCAAGCTACCATTAGCTTTCTTCACAGAACTGGAAAAAAACTACTTTAAATTTCATATAGAACCAAAAAAGAGTCCACATAGCCAAAACAATCCTAAGCAAAAAGAACAAATCTGGAGGCATCATGGTACCTGACTTTACACTACACTACAAGGCTACAGTAACCACAACAGCATGACACTGGTACCAAAACAGAGATATAGACCAATGGAACAGAACAGAGTCCTCAGAAATAACACCACACATCTACAACCATCTGACCTTTGACAAACCTGACATGAACAAGCAATGGGGAAAGGATTCCCTATTTAATAAATGGTGTTGGGAAAACTGGCTAGCCATACGCAGAAAACTGAAACTGGATCCCTTCCTTACACATTATACAAAAATTAACTCAACATGGATTAAAGGCTTAAACGTAAGACCTAAAACCATAAAAATCCTAGAAGACGGTCAGGTGCAGTGGCTCACGCCTGTAATCCCAGCACTTTGGGAGACTGAGGCAGGTGGATCACGAGGTCAGGAGTTCTACTAAAAATACAAAAAAATAGCTGAGTATGGTGGTGCACACCTATAATCCCAGCTACTCAGGAGGCTGAGGCAGGAGAATCGCTTGAACCTGGGAGGTGGATGTTGCAGTGAGCTGAGATCGTGCCACTGCACTTCAGCCTGGGCAACAGAGCAAGACTCCATCTCAAAAAAAAAAAAAGTCCTAGAAGAAAACCTAGGCAATACCATTCAGGACAGGCATGGGCAAAGACTTCACGTCTAAAACACCAAAAGCAATGGCAACAAAAGCCAAAGTAGACAAAGAGGATCTAATTAAATTAAAGAGCTTCTGCACAGCCAAAGAAACTATCATCAGAGTAAACAGGCAACCTACAGAATGGGAGAAAAATTTTGCTATCTATCCATCTGACAAAGAGCTAATATGCAGAATCTACAAAGAACTTAAACAAATTTACAAGAAAAAACCCCATCAAAAAGTGGGTGAAGGATATGAACAGACACTTCTCAAAAGAAGACATTTTATGCAGCCAATAAACATATGAAAAAAAAGCTCATCATCACTGGACATTAGAGAAAAGTAAAACAAAACCACAATGAGATACCATCTCACACCAGTTAGAAGGATGATCATTAAAAAGTCAGGAAACAACAGATGCTGGAGAGGATGTGGAGAAATAGGAACACTTTTACACTGTTGGTGGGAGTATAAATTAGTTCAACCATTGTGGAAGACAGTGTGGCAATTCCTCAAGGATCTAGAACTAGAAATACCATTTGACCCAGCCATCCCATTACTGCATATATACCCAAAGAACTATAAATCATGCTGCTATAAAGACACATGCACACGTATGTTTATTGCGGCACTATTCACAATAGCAAAGACTTGAAACCAACCCAAATGTCCATCAATGATAGACTGGATAAAGAAAATGTGGCACATATACACCATGGAATACTATGCAGCCATAAAAAAGGATAAGTTCATGTCCTTTCCAGGGACATGGATGAAGCTGGAAACCATCATTCTCAGCAAACTATCACAGAACGGAAAACCAAACACCACATGTTCTCACTCATAAGTAGGAGGTGATCAATGAGAACACATGGACACAGGGAGGGGAACATCACACACGGCGGCCTGTCAGGGGGTGGAGGGCTAGGGGAGGGATAGCATTAGGAGAAATACCTAATGTAGGTGGTGGGTTGATGGGTGCAGCAAACCACCATGGCTCATGTATACCTATGTAACAAAACTGCACGTTCAGCGCATGTATCCCAGAACTTGAAGTATAATAATTAAAAAGAAAAGATAAAAAGATATTAGAGGCTGGTCACGCCAGGTAGAAGATAGAGTTATTACTTAAATCTATCTCACTGAAAATTCAGAGGGTAGGGTTTTTCAAGGATAGTTTGGTGGGACAAGGAGTCAGCTTCCGGGTAGGGTCACGGGACCCACGGGTGAAGTCATCCCATGCAAAAACCTGAAGAGATACCCAAGAAAGCCAATCTTAGGTTGCACAATAATGATGTTATCTGCAGGAGTGATTGGGGAGTTGCAAGTCTTGTGACCTCCAGAATAACAGCTGGTAAGCATTTATGCCTACATCTTAGCAGAACTGGGGCTCTTCATTCTCCTATCATGGTGGTCTTTCATGAGCTTTACAAAGGCGATTTAGTCTTGGGGAAGGGCTATTGTCATTTAAACTATAAAGTCTCCCAGTTAGCTTGGCTCAAGCCCAGGAATAATTAAGGGCAGTTTAAAGATTACAGGCAAGATGGGGGTTGCTTAGATCAGATCTCTTTCACTGTCATAATTTTGTCACTGTTATAATGTTTGAAAAGGCAGTTTCAAGTACAGTTGTATTTGGCAGAGTAATAAGAAAAAGGAGGGGCATTCAGGGCAGACTTGCCTAAAAAGCCACAGGGTTTAGTACTTTATTACATTTTACCTTCATTTAAAACTATTTATGCATGTATTTGCACAAAAGATTAGTTTCAACAGTTTATGATACAGCACTGGGATTATAGTAGAAATTCAATTCTTATCTAAAGAAAATAAATGTTCATGGGGTAAACCAAACTAAATTTAGAAGAGGTCATGTCTACGATGAAATTAGATAAAAAGATTTTATCTGGGATAAAACTAGTTTCCTGACTACTAGAAAGAAGACCCTTTTTAGGTAAGCATATTGCATTGTTAATCTGCTGCAGAAGCAAAATATGTTGCTGGAGATGTAGAGGAATATAAATATGAAAGGCATAGTTAACTTTGCTTCACGATTTTTCTAAATATGTCCCCAGGTAAATTAAAAGGTATTTTAGTAATAGACACATAGTAAATTATGACGAAATACTGTACAAATGTGGAACTTTAGGTTAAAAATCACAGATGCAATCTATGCGTTGACTTTTACTGTGTTCCAGAACTTACTAAAATGGCAGTAAATAAACTTTTAAAAGTTTGAAGTAAACCATATATATAATTCACACAAAACAAGGCACACATCGTAAGTATAAAGCTTGATGAATTTTCAACACTGAACATATATGTGTAACCAGCAAACACAGCAAGAAACAGAACCTTCTAAGCATCCCAAGAACTCCCTCATCCCATTGCCAATCACTGTAGTAACTCCAAATGTATTCGTTACCCTGACATCCAACAACATAGATTAATTTTTCCAGGTTTTTCCTGATATGAAAAAAATCATGGAGTATGAATTCTTTTGTATCTGGCTTATTTTCCTCCATATTAATTATATTAATTATAGATCAAATGCTATAAAAATAGCATTCATATTGCTATTTCATACTTCATTGTATAAATATACTACAGTAAAGGAAATTTTAAGAAGCATAAATTCACAAAGTTAAGGAGGATGAGAGAGGAAATTACAATAAATTTTAAAAGCTGTAAAGAAAAGGAAGGAGTTATAACTGAACTTGAAGACCAGAAATTTTTTGAAACATATGGTGGCAGTGAGGGAAGCCTAAAAACTAGCTACTTCATGCAGTAGAATAACCCATAATTAGAGGTGCTCAGTATTTCTAAAACTTTTTGTTAGAGGTAGAGCTCAAACCAGGAACACAAGCTCTAAGTCTGTGAGAAAAGCAGTTAGAACCCCGACCCTGTCACACATACAGCTGGGCTGCTGCTCCTGTGTCTTCTTGGCAGAAGACTAGAAATTTAATCACTATCTACAATGAACCAGAGACTGGATGTGGAGACCAAAAGCACAGCTGAGTTGTCATTGCACTAAACACAGAAGATTAATTGAAATCCTATATTCTGAATGTTGAGTTATCCACTCCTCTTGTAACAAACTATTCTGAGAATGTGGGCAGTAATATCCTTCTCTAAGGATGTTAGATGATTCACCTTTGGAGGTGCCAATCAGTGCAAAAGAAATGGGCTAGAGATACTGACAACTGGTGATTCACCCTGCAAAGCAGCCAACGAATTTATAAGTCCTGAGCAAGCACATGGGGTGTCCCATCAGCTTTTGAGTGGCTGTATTAGCCCGTTCTCACACTGCTATGCAGAAATAACCTTGACTGGGTAATTTATAAGGAAAAGAGATTTAATTGACTCACAGTTACGTATGGCTGGGGAGGCATCAGGAAACTTACAATATGGCAGAAAGCAAAGTAGAAGCAGGCATCTTCACAGGACAGCAGGACGGCGTGAGTGCAGGTAAGGGAAATGCCAGATGCTTATCAAGCCATCAGATCTCCTGAGACTCACTCACTATCACAAGAACAGCATAAGGGAATCTGCCCCTATGGTTCAGTTACTTCTACCTGGTTCCACCCCACATGCGGGGATTATGGGGATTAAAATTTGATGTGAGATTTGGGTAGGGACACACAGAGCCAAACCATATCAGTGCCCTTCAATACAATTCACCCAATGTTTGAGAAAAGACTCTAATGTGAAAAACAAAGATAAAAACAAACAAATGCACAAAAAGGAATTAGAGGTAATGGGCAGGGAAATGAAAAAAATTTTTAAAACACTAAAAATAAATTAAAATAAGAATAAGAGTGTAACTACCCAATGGGTTCACCTTGCCTGCTGCCTAGACAGAGCTGGTTTATCAAGACAGGGAAATTGCAACAGAGAAAGAGTAATTCAGACAGAGTCGGCTGTATGGGAGAGCAGAGCTTTATTGTTACTCAAATCAGTCTCCCCAAGCATTGGGGGATCAATTTTTAAGGATAATTTTGTGGGTGGAAGAAGGCCAGTGAGTCAAGAGTGCTGATCGGTTGGGTCAGAGAAGAAATCATAGGGAGTTGAAGCTCTCCTCTTGTGCTGAGTAAGTTCCTGGGTGGGGGCCACAGATCAGATGAGCCAGTTTATCAATATGGGTGGTGCCAGCTGACCCATCAAGTTCAGGGTCGGCCAAATATCTCAAACACTGATTTTCGGTGAAGTTTAGGGAGAGTCAGAATCTTGTAGCCTCCAGCTACATGACTCCTAAACCATAATTTTGAATGTTTGGCTAATTTGTTAGTACTACAAAGGCAGTCTAGTCCCACAAAGACAGTCTAGTCCCCAGGCAAGGAGGTTTGTTTTGGGAAAGGGCTGTTATTGTCTTTGTTTTAAAGTATAAACTAAGTTCCTCTTAAAGTTAGTTCAGCCTTCACCCAGGAATGCACAAGGACAGCTTGGAGGTTAAAAGTAAGACAGAGTTGGTTAGGTAAGATCTCTTTGACTGTCTCAGTTATAATTTTGCAATGGCAGTTTCAAGAAGCTTTAAAATAATATATTCTGAGAAAGTATAAAAGAGCACTTAAAAGTTACTATTAATGAGAAATTCAGTATAAAATAATTTTAAGGAAATTTCTTAGAAATAGAAACAGCAATAAGATGTGAAGAACAAGAGAGCAAAGATTAAAGATTCAGTCCTAGATGTCCAATATTCAAATAATCAGTTTAGAAAGATAAGAGAAAGAAGATGTAGGACAGGCATAGTTCTACAAATAAATTTTCCATTATTAAATGCTACAGAGAGTGATGTCAGCAAGACAGCTCACTAGAGGTGCCTAACACTTGCCCCCAACAAAAAAGGACCCAAATGATGAATGAACAACTACATTTCAACCACAGTGACTAAAGGAGAGTGCTGGGGAACAGCAAGGGAGTGGCAGAAACTCTGTGGAGCACAGAAACTCAGGATGTACACATCCAGAAGAGAAAGAAACATCATGTATCCACCATACCCTCTTCCTCCTCAGTTGAGATCAGCTTGGGACCAGGAGGGACTTCTCCTTGCAAGGAAAAGATAAGCAGAAGGCCCCTAGCAGCCTCCATCACTGTAGAGGACACTCACAGTTTTCACTACTAATGGATCCTGCAGCCCTCACAGACCCTGAGCCCAGCTAAGGGAGCTGCATAGAATTCACATGGAGGCACTACTCCAGATGAGCCTATGTTGTACCTTGCACCCTGTGAATCAAACTGCTACTGCACTGCAACATGTTAAAACCAGAGCTACTGCTAGAGTGTGTTCTGTTCTGGGGGCCAGTAGCCATTGTATCCCTCCATCCCTGAGGCTCTGCCATCATTGCACCCCCACTTTCACACAAATGGTAGGATACCATTTCCTCACTCAGCTTCTGTAGCCCCCTACCATCTTGAAATAAGCTGCATAGGAAGCATTCCACTTCCCCAATCCCAATTGCTGCTCCCCTCAACCCCAGCTACTCAAAGACTAGGCCCAGCAGAGCAGCTGTGCTCCCTGATGCTCAAACCAACCTATCGCCTGCTCCACAGGAATCAAGCATTGGCTTGAGAGTAGCTGTGACCCCGTGCACAGCCAACACAGCACCCTGCCCCTCAGGGACCATACCCTTCAGCCCAGTGAGTAAGATATAATGGATTTACCAGAGCAGCTACATACCCTTGGCACCTGAACTAATCTGGTGCCTTGTGCTGAGGAAATTGGAGCTTCTACCCAAGGGAGCAGCTGCAACCTTGGCACATGGGGTGTCCTGCCTCTCAGGGACCAAGTGCTCTGGCTCAGCAGAGAATCCATGCCTGAGCCAGTGGAGCAACTGTGCTCCCTAGTGCCTGAGTCAACCTGGTGCCTCATCCTCCTGAAATTGGAGTTCCAGATGAAGAGAGGAGCCATAACCTTGGCGTCCAACCCAGTGTGGCACTCTGATCTCCCTGGGTACCAGGATCATTGTGCAAGAGAGAAACTACACCCAAGTCTGCATAGCAACCTCATCCTCTAGGACCTGAACCAACCCAGGGTCCCACCTGATTCTTCCCCTCCCAGAATTGGAACATCAGTCCAGTACAACAGCCACACCTTCCTTGTGCTTGAGCTGACATAGCACCCTGCCCCACCAAGGAAATAGAGCCTTCCTGAGCTGTGCTTCTTCACCCTCTGGGCCAAAGATCCACAGTGCCTTACCTCCCTAGATCAGAACCAGCCTTCCAGAGTTTGAGTTGCTAAGATATCCTATCTCCTTGGGGAGTGGCACCATGCTTACAGTGTTCTGTACCACCTAGGGCCCAAGCCACAGCTTTCCTACCATTCCTGGGTTTTTGCTGCTGCTGCAACAGGATGTACAGAGCCTGGGCCACTATTGTGTCCCACTACTCCAGGGTCCAGTCACCACTATGCAATATCTCCTTTTTCTTGTGCCCAACTTGCCACTGAGCTCTGCTGGCTCCAGGACCTGGATTGCAGTTGTGCCCTCTTCCTGGGGCCTGAACCTGTGAAACACTCCTCCTTTCCTGGAGTTTTGCCAGTGCTGGAGGATCGGAGTCACAGTTACATCTCTGTCTCCTGGGGCTGAGCTACTGGAGAGTGCCTTTAGAGTTACAGTCCTCAGCTTGGTGGGAGAGCTGCATCCACTGTGCCTCAGAGAGTAAACCTTCGCTCTTATCAAAGGTGCTACGATAGTTCAACAGGACACTGAATCCAGCATACCAGCTCCACAGCCATTCTGAGCACCTGTACCCTGGAACATAGTGCTCCTGAGCTGCCTATGGCCCGTGTCAGACCCAACACCAATGAGGACCCCATCAGCTAAGTCTCCCACTGTGAGGAAAGAAAATAAAAGACTCCTAAAAAGTTTGCCACTATGAACTCTAACAACCAACCCTGCAAACACCCCTGCCACAGTCTCCTGAAGTCCAGACCACTGAGGTGCCTGCAGTCATCACTGACATTGATCACAGTTGAAGAACATGTATGTAGACTATAATACCATGCCCACCTGAACCCAGAGCCAACACACTCTGTCCAACTGACATCTTAGTTCCAACTCATTTGCACATAAGTCTTTCCCTATGAAAGCCAGAAATATATAACTGAAGAGTCAACTGCTCCATCAGATGTGCAGACATCAACACAGGATCATAACAAAGAAGAAAAAGGAAGGAAACATGTCACCACTACAAGAACACAATAATTTGCAAGTAACTGACACCAAAGAAATGGAAACTTATAAATTACCTGAAAAGGAACTTAAAATAATGATCTCAAGGAAGCTCAGCAAGATACAGGAGAATACAGCTAGATAATTCAATGAAATCAAGAAAATAATGCACTATCTGAATGGGAAATTCAATAAAGAGATATATGTCACAAAAAATAACCAAACAAAAGTCTTAAAGCTGAAGATATCAATGAATAAAATAAAAAATACAAATGAGAGCTTCGACAGCAAACTAAGAGAAAGAAGGAAACCTACAAAAATGATTAGACAACATTAAGTGAATAAATTTTAACATTATAAGAGTTTCAGATGGAGAAGAGACAGAGAAATGCACAGAAAGCTTAGTTAATCAAATAATTGTTGAAAACTTCCTCAGTTTTGGGAGATATACAAACAAGCAGATCCATGAAGCTCAAATGTCCCAAGCAGGTTCAACCCAAAAAGCTCCTCACTTAGGCATATTACAATAAAAAAGTCAAAGACAAACAGAGAATTTTTAAATCAGAAAAAGAAAAACGTCAAGAGACATACAATGAAATCCCCATTAGACTATCAGTGGATTTCTCAGCAGAAACCTTGCAAGCCAGGAGAAAACGTAATGATAGATTCAAAGTGCTCAAAGAAAAAAAAAAAACTGCCAGGCAAAAATACTATACCCACCCAACCTATTTTTCAGAAATGAAAGAGAAATAAAGTATTTTACAGAGAAGCAAAAGCTGAGGGAATCCATCACCACTATACATGCCTTAGAACAAATGCTTAAGGGAGTGCTTTAATTGGGAAAAAAAGTGATAATTACTATTATAAAAACATGAAAGTATAAAACTCACTGATAGAGGTAAATTCATAATCAAATTTGGAATACTTTAGTATTCTAATGGTGGTGTGTAAATCTTTCAAATGTCTAATATGAAGTTTAAAAGTCAAAATGGTCAAAAGTAACTTTAGGTGCAGTAAGTTGGTAAGAAATATACAATATAAAAAAGTAAATGTTGAAAATAAAAATATAAATAATGGGAGGCAACAAAGTTTAGAGTATGTGTATGTGATTGAAGCTAACTAGCTAACAGCTTGAAAGAGCTATAAGATGTTTTATGTAAGCCACATGATAACCACAAAGCAAAAAACAAACAGAAAACAAAATGAAACAACAGCAGATAAATGATAGAAAGGAATAAAAGCTTAGCACTGCAGAAAATAACCAAATCACAACAGTCGACAATGAGAGATGAAAAAAGAAGTAAAGGAGCTACAAAACAACCAGAAAACAATTAACAAAATGGCAGTAGTAAATTCTTGAATGTAAATAGATGAAACTCTCCAATCAAAAAACATAGAGTGGCTAAACGGATTAAAAAAGACCTAACTATATGCTACCTAGAAGAGACCCACTTTAGCTTTAAGAGCATACATAGGCTAAAAAATGAAAGGATGGAAAACAGTACCATGCAAAAGAGAGCAGGGGTAGCTATACTTAACATCAGATAAACTTAGACCTCAAGTCAAAAACTATTATAAGAGACAAAGAAGTTTATTTTGTAATGATAAAAGAGTCAACTCATCAAGAGGACATAACAATTGTAAATATATATGCACTCAACTTTGGAGCACCTAAATTTATAAAGCAAATATTAATGAACATAAAAAAGAAATAGAGAACAATATAATAACAGTGGGGGACTTCACTATCCCATGTTCAACAATTAATAGATTAACAAGATAGAAAATTAACAAGAAAATACTGGACTTAAAATGCACTTTAGACCAAATGGATCTAACAGACATACATAGAATTTTTAATTGAACAGAGGCAGAGCATGCATTCTTCTCCAGTACACATGGAATATTTTCCGGGACAGACAATGCATTAGGCCACAAAACAAGTCTTAACAAATTCAAGAAGACTGAAATAATATCCAGACTATTTCTCAGCACAATGGTGTGAAACTAGAAATCAATAACAAGAATAATTTTGGAAAATTTACAAATATGTGGAAATTAAACAACATGCTCCTGGAACAACTAATGGGTCAAGGAAAAAATCAAAAGGAAAAATTTAAAATCTGAGATAAATGACAATGAAAATCCAATATATGAAAACCTATGGGATGCATCAATACAGCTCTAAGGGAAGGGCTTATAGCAATAAATGCCTCCATTTTTTAAATAAAAGAAATAGTCAAAATAAATAGCATAACATTATGTCTTAAGGAGCTAGAAAAAAGATCAAACTAAACCCAATGTTAGCAGAAGGAAGGAAAAAATAAAGATCACAACAGAAATAAATCAAATAGAGAACCAAAAAAAATGAATAAAACCAAAAGTTGACACTTTGAAAAAAATTGACAAAACCAACAAACTCTTACCTAGAGTAACTAAAAACAAAAACAGAGAAAGCTCAAATAAGTAAAATTACAAATGAAAGTGGAGACATTACAACAGATGGCTCAGAAATAAAAAGGTTCATAATGGATTGTTATGAACAATTATAGGTCATGAATTAAATAACCTAGAGAAAATGGTTAAATTTGTAGAAAAATACAACCTACCATTATTGAATCAGGAAAAAATGGAAAGCCTGAAAAGATGAAAAACAAATAAAAAGACTAAGAAAGTAATTAAAGCCTTCCAATAAAAGAAAACCCAGATCAGATGGCTTCATGGCTGACTTCTCTCAAACATTCAAAGAATTATTACCAACATCTTAAACTCTTCCAAAAATAGAGCCAGAAAAAATACTTCCAAACACATTTTATGAGGCCAGCATCACCCTAATACCCTGCCTTGGGGCCTCTATTTTCTCTGTGAAGTAGGAGGGGGTGGGTCCTTGACAAAGGAAAAGGAGAGAAATAGAACTGTGTATACTTGTGAATAATGTGATTGTATATGTTTAAAATGCCAAAGAATACACCTAAAATGTTATGATTAGTGAGTCTAACAAGATTGCTAGATGTAATGTCAATATTTTAAATATATCAAAATGAATTTTACTTCTTGCCAAGATGGAGTAGCAGGCACTGAATTTCCTCTCCTGCCTGACACAAATAAACAGGATAGAATATATAGAACAACAGTTTTCAAGACACTGGACATCATGCAATGAAAGAGAATGACCCCGGAGAAATACGAACAAATTAATCGAGTCCTACAATTTCTCTAACTTACTGCCCTCAGAGAGTTTCCAGGCCATAGTAAAGGAAAATGAAACTTCAGAAGGTACCCAGCCAATCCCCTGAATACTAATACAGAGATGAGATTCGAGTAGAATAAGACAGACAGTATTGCAGGACCGATTGAATAGGAGAGAGCTACACAAAGAGGTAACTCCAGAGATCTGTACAGAAACCCTCTAAGTATTTACCTGATTATTGATCAGCACCTGTATGTGAGGAACACACCTGAGGCTGGAGAAAGAACACACAATAATTAGAGGTAATAGGGTCTAACAGTCACAGAGGGCTGGAAATGGGCCGATTACTACCAGGAAGACTGTAAAAGTGTATGATTCACAAAGTACTGGGCAGAGTACACAGAAAGGCATTGCTTTTGTGGTAGTCCTTGACTGAGCATTGCTTCTTTCCAACCTAACAAATCCAAGAATGATTAATACAGGATCAAATTGTTTCTAAGTACCTAAACTGCATCCCATAACAAATCTCAAGATTATTTATAAGAATACAAAATATCTGGCATCCAACAATGTAAAATATACAATGTCTGGAAAGAAAAATTACCAGGCATGCAAATAAGCAGAAAAATATAACTCATGAAGATAAGAAAAATCAATCAATAGAAGCAAACTTAAAATTGACATGTTAGAATTAACAGGTAACATTAAAGAAGTTATTATAGTTGTATTAAATATGCTAAAAAATAGAAGAGAATCATGACAAATATACAAAAGATTCACACTGAATTTCTACACGTGAAAACTAAAATGTAAAAAGTGAAAAATATACTAAAGAATAATGGCAGATTAAACATTACAGAAAAAAACAGAATTTTAAAAATAAGTCTAGCATCAGTAAGCTGTGGAACAATTCAGGTAGGTTTTGAGGTAACAGGAGTCTCAGAAAGGAAGGAGAGAGATGAGGGGAAAAGAAAAATTATTTGAAGCAATAATGGCCAAACATTTTTCAAATTTGATGAGTACTATAAACCCACAGAGAAACATGCAGCAACAACTCTAAACTGTTGACCTCTAAAAGGGTCAACCAATTCTAAACTGAAGAAACCCTAAGCTGAAGACATTTTTCTAGATGTATCACAGTCAAAATGCTCAAAAACAGTGATAAAGAGAAAATCTTGAAAGCAGCCAGATAGAAAGATACTTTACATAGAGGAGAACAAAGGGTGTTCTACTATTTCCCATAAGAAATAATGCAAATAAGCAGATGGGAGAGTAACATCTTTAAAGTATTGATATAAAAATATAGAATTCTATACCTACAGAAAATATCCTTGTAAAACCTAAGTGAAATAAATATTTTATCAGACAAAAATAAATTGAAATGATTTATCATCAATAAACCTACACTATAAGAAATGATAAAGCAAGTTTTTCAGGCAGGAGGAAAATGAAACCAACTGGAAATATCTATTTACACAGAAGAACATTAGAAATGGTAACCACATGGGTAAAATAGTAAATATGCCTGTCTTACTGTTTTAAATCTCTTTAAGTGATAATTTAATGTTCAAACAAAATTAACAATTTATTCTGGGGCCTATTACATAGGTATAAGTAAGATATACAAAAAACAATAGTAGGAAGGTCAGGGGCAGAGGTAGGAAGAAAGAGAAAGTAAAGAAAGTGTGTTAGCTTAAAGTTTTTATATATGTCAGTTAATAAAATATCACTTTAATATAGACTATAATAAGTTTAAAATGTATACCACATTTGGGAGGCCGAGGTAGGTGGATCACTTGAAGTCAGGAGTTTGAGACCAGCCTGGCCAATATGGTGAAACCCCGCCTCTATTAAAAATACAAAAATTAGCCAGGTGTGATAGTACACGCCTGTAGTCCCAGCTACTTGGAAGGCTGAGGAAGGGGGGTTGCTTGATCCCAGGAGGCAGAGGTTACAGTGAGCTGAGATCATGCCATTGTACTCCAGCCTGGGCTACAGAGTGAGACTCTGTCTCAAAAAAAAAAAAATAAATAAATTAAATAAGTACACCATAAACCACAAAGCAACCAACAAAATAATAAAACAAAAAGTTATAGTTAATAAGTCAAGAAAAGAATTAAAGTGGAGTCAAAAATGTTAACAATAGAGTCAGGAGAAATGAGAAAGGGAGAACAGAGAAACGATGGAATACAAATAGAAAACAACTAGAAAGATGATAAATTTAAATCTAACCATATTAGGAATTACATTAAATGTGAATGGTCTAAATACTCTAATTAAAAAAAACAGAAATTATCTACTTGGATTTTTAAAAAAGCAAGATCCAACTATATGTCTATAAGAAAGATTATTTAAATATAAAAAACAATTATATGTTAAAAGTAAAAGAATGGAAAAAGATATCCCATATGAACACAAGTAAAAATAAAACTAGACTGGCTATATTAACATAAGAGAAAATGAGTTTCAGTCAAAGGATATTACCAGATGTACTGGATTGAGTAATGTCTCTTAAAAAGTAATGCTCACCCACCAGGCACAGTGGCTCACATCTGTAATCCCAGCACTTTGGGCGGCTGAGGCACGTGGATCACAAGGTCAAGAGATCGAGATCATACTGGTCAACATGGTGAAACCCCCATCTCTACTAAAAATACAAAAATTAGCTGGGCGTGGTGGCTCGTGCCTGTAATCCCAACTACCAGGGAGGCTGAGGCAGGAGAATCGCTTGAACCCGGGAGGCAGAGGTTGCAGTGAGCTGAGATCGCACCACTGCACTCCAGCCTGGTGACAGAGCAAGACTCTGTCTCAAAAAAAAAAAAAAAAAAAAGTAATGCTCACCCAAAATTCACACCCACTTGGAAATAGGGTCTTTGCAGATTTACTCAATTTAAGATGAAGTCATACTTAATTAGAAAGGGCCCTAAAATCATTTTGACTGGTGTTCTTATAAGAAGATGGGAATATGGACACAGAGACAAAAGGAAAATTCTATGTGAAGACAGAGGCAGAGATTGCAGCTATGCTGTCACAAGATAAAGAACAAAAGAACACCAAGTATTGCTGGGAACAATCAGAAGACAGAAGAGGCACGGAAGAATTCTTATCTTCAGCCTTGAAAGGGAAAGGGACCCTGCCAACACCTTGATTGCTGACTTCTAACCTCTAGACCTGTGAGAAAATAAATTTTTTAAAGCCACCCAGTTTGTGATAATTTGTTACAGTACTTTTAGGAAACTAATACATCAGGCATAAAGGTTCATTTCACCACTATAAAGGGTGTAAATTCACCAAGAGGACATAACAATCCCATATGATTGTTTATCTTATAAAACAGCTTCAAAATACATGAAGCAAAACTGATAGACCTGAAAGAAGAAATAGACAAATCCATCCTCAAGGGCCTCCTCATAGTCCAGAATGGCTGCTGAAACTCCAACCATTGCCTCTAGGTTTGGGGCAGGAAGAAGAAGGAAGTAGAGAAAGGACAAAAGAATGTGACTCCTAAAAGAGTCAGTCCTCATTAATTGCCCTTCCCAGTTTTCTCACCTAAACTTTTTGCTTATGTCTAATTGAGCACCCTTAGCTGCATGAGACTAGAAAACACAGTCTTTGCTTCCTGGAGAAAATTGGGATTCTGCAGCTTAGGAAGACAGGGAGAATATGTGGAGGAGTGGCAACTAGCAGTATTTTCAACATCTGAGAGCGAGTAAACCCTAAAGTTCAGTATGAGTCCTCTATAGTAGAATAGTTAGCACAACACCTGGCTCCACTACCTATTACCTGTCTGAGCGGCAACATGAAATTTAACATTTCTAAGTCTCAGTTTTCTCATCTGTAAATTTTAAAATTTACAAAGGGTTATTTTGGGAAATAAAACTATATCCATATAAAAAAATCAGCCATATTATTATATACGAGCATGCACTTTGGAAAACAGTTTACCATTCAATTCTAGATATGTCCATACTCTATTTGAGTAGCTCTTGTCTTTGGTTTTTACCTAAAAGAAATGTATATACCAAAAGGTATGTATATAAATGTTCCTATCAGCATTATTCATAATACTCTAAAAATAGAAACTGTCCAACTACCTTTAACAGTAGAATGAATTTTTTAATGGAATATTTATACCAAAACGAAAACAAATTCTAGCTGCACTCAGCAACATTAATGAATCTCACAAAAGAATAGTTTTATAAAATTTTTAAAACTTAGCATAGTGTTTCAAGTAAGGATAGTGGTTACCTTTGGTAGTGATTTGGAGAGGAATTAGAAGAAAGTTTCCTAAATACTGGCAGCATGCTATTTCTGGACCTATGGAAGCTATATAAATGTTATCTTGGGATAATGTACCTTTGGTTCACATGCTATTACACTTGGCATGACTGTGTAATGAGCCATTCAATCTCATGTACCTTTGATAGTAAAAAATGGATGGGGTACTGCTTGAAACAGCAGGCATAACTCAGGACTGTCCTTGCAAAGCAGAACTTTAGATGACTTTTGTTATATTTAACAATAAAAAGGTTATGGGAAGGAAGAAAAGATGGAGGGAAGGAAGAAAATATAAGGAAAGAAAAAAGGAAGAAAAAGAGAAAGAGGAAAATGAATGGAAAAAAAGGGGAAAAGGGAAAAAAGAATGAAGGAAAGGGAAGGAGGAACTGAAGAAGGAAAGGAGGAAGAAAAGAAAAGGAGGAGAAAAGAAAGGAAGAGAGGAAAGAGGAAAGAAAGAAATGAAGGAATGAAAGAAGAAAGGGAATACAAAAAGGAGATAGATGGCCTTAGCCTAAACCATGGTCCCTTTCTACTTTAAAATCCTGGGTTGGCAGAAGGATTAAGAAAGCAGATCGCATTTCCCTCCCATAAGACAAGATTTCCATGGGTGATGGGGGCTGGGGTAGAGAAGCAGCTTGGAATAGAATATGAAATTAAAAGTTTAGAATTGCTTGACCAGGAAGTTATACAAACTTCTCAACATGTCATTTAAAGGCTCTGCCTTTGAAGAAGTGCTAATTGGCCTGGCAAAGCTGGGAGTAGTCACTGAAGAAAAAGTAATTTATTTCCCTGTGTATACACTACCAAGTTGAAAATGCTCAGAATAGGGCAATACTGCCTCCTTCAGCTGCAGAGGTATTAGTTCTCTTTAATGCTTGGGTGGGAACTATAGCTCCCCACTGAGGAGCACAGACATCCCACATGGATTTCAGTCATGGCCCCTACCCTACCGGACCCTCCCAGGTCTCACCACAACCTCAGGTCATGAGATCATGTATACCACTCTGCTTTCTTTTTGATCCTACCGTGGGATTCCTCAGAGCTGCTGCTTCTCCTTCAGCCCTTCTGTACCCTTCCCAGGAGCACAGGAAAGATTTCACTACATGCCCATGTCTTTCTGAGGCAGAGGACTCAGATATATCAGTAAAGCCTCACTCTTCTCCTAAAGACACATGGCAGCCATTTATGAGATACTCAGTGAGGTTACTTTTTACCAGAGATCCAGTGAGCCCGGCGAGACACAGGTCTCCACCATTTTCAGGTCCCCAAATTGTATGCATTTTTAAATGGATCTCCTTCCACCAGAACTGTCTCCAGTCTGTGTGAACAAACTTCAGTGTGAACCTCTGCCTCTTCTTTGAACTCTCCCGCAGTTCCTCCAGCTTAGAAGGCTCTACATAGCCCGGGTGATGGGTAGAGTGCTGGCTGATCTACTAATCTTCCTAAATATTCCTTTCAAGTGAACTCATAAATTTTATTATAGGTACTAGAAGTGTCTAATCCAGACAGCTCTCCCCTGAGACAAATGGAATGGCAATGTCATGTCTTCGGGCATGAATGGGGGATGCACATGGGTAGAAGCACAAAAGCACACCTGTTATTTCATCAAATTATTACTTAATAGAGTTAAGATGCTCATCAAACATTTCTAGAATACTTTGGACAGTAGTTCCCTGCTGCCCCAGATATTTGAAACAGTCAATAACCCTAACAAGGGACAGTGTTACATAGAGAGATGAATTTACAGGCAACATGTAAAACATATATAAATGGATCCTTCTCATGTAGTAAGGACTTTAAAATTCAGTTGTTTAGGAAAGGGTCATGTTTGAATCAGAGCAACAGAATCAAGAGAGAATGCCTTTGTGGTGACAATATACCTCATATTTTCTCAACACAATTAAAATAAACCTGCATGACTAGAAATGCCAATATATCCTTCTTCAGAGACTAATCCCTCTTTAAAAACTTACCACTCTTGGTTGTAATTTATGATATTATAAATGCATTAAAAGGAATTCACATTTCAGCCTCCAAATTACTTATTATCCAAACCAAGTACACTTAATAATAAAAAAAACTAGTCCTAAAAATTAACTCAGATAGAATTCTAATATTTCAGGTTATGTGCCCAAAATACTTATTGCTTAAGAGAGATATATTTATGTATGTAAAGTTGAAATTTTGAAAATATTTGGTCTTTAATATTGTTCTTTTACTAGAAAATGCCTGTTAACTTTAGAAACAATTTTAAGTGAATGAAATATCCCACCTTCAAAATGGGAACTTTAAATCTAGTTTCGATCTGATAGCATCATATTGGTGAAATAAATCTCTTGTATACTTGTGGTTTCTTGTAATGTCATTGTGCTTATGGTTATTGTCCTGCTGTAGAGGAGTGATGAATGGCAGTGAGGCTTAACCCAATTTTCCATCAAGTTTTTGCTAATCTCACACAACCCCTTCATAAATCTGAATAATTTGCTACTGCTCGGCAACCCTCATGTGAGCTCCAGAGTGGTTTTGGCCTGAAATTATGTATTATTGCAACCTCCTTTGAAAATGTAAGGGCTTTTATTGTTCCTATAACTGAATTATGTTTTCATATCTTTTACACTGCTGTAGTGGGTATTGCTTAGCAACAAGTCTCCAAGACCAAGGAAGTGGAGCATCCCTTATTAGCATATTATGCTAATCCTCCTGATCTCCCTACTGTCTGGATAAATTCACTGCTGGCCCTCTGACTTGTCTAGCCCAAGAGAATAATTTTTCTTTACCTTTTAAAATAAGTTTGTATTTCTATAAAAAATATATTAACTCTTAGTTATATGAAAGCAAAGGTTACTCAGAAGTTCTAGTATTCTAATAGTGCAGGGAAATTATAGTTAAAAATAATTTACTGTATATTTCAAAATAGCTAGAAGAGAAGAACTGTAATGTTCCCAATTCAAAGGATATATGTTTGAGTTGATGGATATCCCAGTTACCCTGATTTGATCATTAAACATTGTATACATGTATCAAAATATCAAAAGTATCCCAAAAATATGTACAACTCTGATATATCAATAAAAAGTAAAAAATTAAATACCCAGAGCATCTAACAGGGACCTAATGTACATAAAATCACTGCCATATGGAAATTGACTCATCATATTTTTTATTTTTATTTTTTTTCCAAGGCGGAGTCTCACTCTGTCCCCCAGGCTGCGATGCAGTGGCACAATCTCAGCTCACTGCAACGTCCACCTCCCCGGTTCAAGCAATTCTCCTGCCTCAGCCTCCAGAGTAACTGGGATTACAGGCATGTGCCACCACACCAGGCTAATTTTTGTATTTTTTAGTAGAGATGGGGTTTCACCATGTTGGCCAGGCTGTTCTCAAACTCCTGACCTAGTGATTCACCTGCCTTGGCGTCCCAAAGTGCTGGGATTACAGGTGTGAGCCACCACACCCAGCCGACTCATCTTATTTTTAAAAAATAAATATTACCTAATGAGGTAGAAACATGCCATGTCATTGCATTTTTCTGCTCTTTAAGAAGATAATGCAAATGATATACTACAAACAGAAAGTGTTCCATGTAGGTATGACTCACACTGAGAAATGCCTGCTATTTCCTCTAGTTCCCTTTGTGTCTGAGAATACACTGTTGGGAGACCCTAGATCTTAGGGTAATCCCCACGGCAAAGGGAAAAAACTTTCTGCTGCCTCTAAGTGGGCTGAATAGGTGACTTTGGTCTTGTTAGAACTGATAGAAATGCTTCGAAAAATACCCACCAAGATTCATGGCTCACTTTAAAAACAATTCTGAATCAACCAGAAGTTGTGTAAGACAAGCATACAACATGGATCTTGCCCACTAAGGATTTAGCTCACAAGCTGTGCAAAGGTATTATGATAATCTCTTGGCTTTAGCTTTAGCTATTTTTATCTTCCATTTGGCCCAGGCTTCATGTGGTTTTGTCGGGAGGATTCCTCACCCAATCTACCCTTTTGTCCCTCTTGGGTGACATGAGGAATTGAGGCAAGCAGTACATTTCTTGTGGGTTTAATTCTTAAAAGTGGGTTAATGTACTCTAAAACCAGTTAGTTAGAGCAGGGAAGAGTCATGTAAGGCATTATGAGAAAGGATGATAGTCTCAGTGGAATATGAGAACATTTCAGGAGTCCAGAAGCATCACTCATGAATTAGCTAACATCTTTCAAGAAATTTTGTTAAATGGCACATCAGCAGCCATGGGCCCTAATTCTATTTTTCTCTTCTTTCAAAGTACTAAATTTGAAATTTTAAAGTGGTCAATGTTCTTATAGAAATTGACATAGAAATATCTGCCTATCAAGTAGTTCAACCAGCCCCACCACACAGCAATTATCCAAACAAACTAATAAATGGCCTTAAGCAATTGGTATCTGAAAATGAAGTTTAAAAGCCCTTGAAATTTAAGATAAGCAATTTTATAGAAGTGAAACAAAAATTAATTAAAGCTAAAATGTGAAATGTCATAACATAGGCTATATCAGACTGGTATATTTCTGATATTCTAAAATTTTTAGAATTCAGAAGTATCTACTTTTCTGGCTTCCTGTATCAAGTTATACATACAAATACATTCTGAGGAAAATGTAATTGCTCCCATGCTTTTGAATCTTGCCACCTATAGTGAATAATAAATTGTGGCATGCTTTTATAAAGTTAAGTGTTACTTTTGATGGAAATATTTATCACCTAAAACTTTCAAGACTTTATTCTGCCTTCCCACCCCCAACTTTGTCTTTATTTTAAATGTTTTCTGGTCTTTTCTGGTTGTTCCAACTCCTGTTACCTCTTAGGATTGAATGATAGATTGTCTGCCCACTAAGTGAAATTTCTCTTGTTTTATTTTGACACTGACATTATGATAGTCCTGTAAGCCTACGTGAGTATTAAGAAGAGTTCGTCAACCAGCCTGACCAACATGGAGGAACCCCATCTCTAATAAAAATAAAAAATTAGCCAGGTGTGGTGGTGCATGCCTGTAATCCCAGCTACTCGGGAGGCTGAGACAGGAGAATCGCTTGAACTAGGGAGTCAGAGGTTGCAGTGAGCCTAGATCACGCCATTGCGCTCTAGCCTGGGCAACCAGAGTGAAACTCCATTTTGAACATCTCAAAAAAAAAAAAAGAAGAAGAAGAGTTCCTATCAAAAAGAAGATTTAAGAGTGACAGCCAAGTTATACTGTCCACTCTTTCTTTTTTTCCATCAATCCTCAGACCCATTGCTTTAATAAAAAAAATCCATCTCTCTCTCTCTCTCTCTCTCTAGAGAGAACAATAACCACAACGCCACAATGTCATAGCTGCAAACACCACTATCTGGAATAAAGACAGGTAAGGAAGAGGGAATATAAGAGGTGAATGAATAAAGAGACAAAAACCACATTTTTTTTTCTTCAAAGAGAATGTTCTCCATTCTGAAATATGTTAAAAACTGTTAAATGATTTAAAGTCTGTTGTAGACAAAGAGATGATTAAAGAATATCTGCAAGCTGTAAACTGGACTAGGACAGATTATATCCTGTGGCAATGGTAATAAAAATAGGACATTATTTAAACAATTTCATATATTATCTTGTACAGCAGCCATGGAAATGCACCAGTCAGCTCTCGTGCTGCGAAGAGCTTCACTTGCTGATGGCCCCAGCTGGTGCTCCCCTGGATCATCTTCTACCTTCATGCTAAGGCTATTCAATGTCCAAAGAGTGAGAAGGACACCACCCTGAATGGGGTAGAGTAGTCCCTGGCACAAGCAGACAACTCAGTTGCTGAAGGTTTCACTGCTGGTCACCAAGGAAGCATCTTAGTGCAGCAGTCATTTCCATACCTTTGCAGGTGAGATGTTTCAGGCATCTGAAAGAGATGGGGGCAGTGGGGAGGCAATGGGCAACATGTAGGCAATCGCTACGATAACAATAGAGTTGGTTGGTTACTGCAATGTTGTACTGTCTCTATGTAGAGAGATAATGAGAAACTGAAGGCCACTGAAAACAATTAATCTCTAACAAGAGAGCCTCTTTAGAACCTAGAAGAATGATTCCATCTCTCACAGAAGAACAGAGGTAGCTAAGCAGCAGACTGATAATCTGATAGAGTCACAAAAAAATGACATTTCAATTCTCAGTGAAGATGAATCTGTTAGGGTCTTGCATGGGAAAGCCTAGAACCCAGAAAGGATGGGGATGTGAAAGGGGATGCCTCCAAAGAAGTTGGCCGTGTCGAATACCCTAGACCCGTAGGCCTGGCAGAGGGCTTTTTTTCTGATAACAACTAGCATTTCTCCTCCATTAGAAGATATTACAGAGACCCCCTCCATGCAAAGCAATAAACGTTCACCTTAGGTGCACCTCCATCTGCTTTTCTGACAGCCATTCCAATAATTGGGTTAAATCCCAGCATAATTGAGCTGGATATATTAGACATGATAAGGAAGGAAAAAGCTATATGCCAAAGTGGGTGTAAGAATTAGATAGCTTGTACTGGAAGGAACCAGGTGAGGGCTCCTCGGATTGGATTTTGAGGGTGCTTGATCAGCAGAGTCAGAACATAAGATGGAATAAGCAAGAATTCATAGACTTGGAAAGGCACTTTCTCAGGACATCCTCTGGGGCAAGAATTCTAGGAGATCAAGCAAACTTATTGTTGAAGTGGCAATTAGAAGCCTGGAAAAAGCAATGCTAAGTGAAGTGGAGACAACTGAGTTGCACTGTCAGATAGTGAAGAAAAGAATAAAGAAGTTGAGGGACATGGACATGCTGGGAGGAATAAACTGTGTGAAGCCACAGACCCACCAGAAAGTTGCATTGCCATGGGAAGATACAGAAGGCAAACCACCCAAGAAGGACGTTAAGATTCTGCAGAAAGTCATAGAATTATATGCCTTTCAAAGAACAATTTTTAGTGTGCTAGTTTAATGCTAGTATAGAGATGAAATACTTGACCATGGAGCACCAAGTGTCCATGGGTCTAGAACTGTTCATAATGAGTTAGGTTCTGTCAGACCCACCAAATCACAAAATGAGATAATCCTAGCACAGACTTTCATAAGATAGAAATATAACCATGGGATTGAACCCAAGGAGGACCAGAGGACATGACAGAGCAACATTAACAGATATGCAAACCCCCATATCACCTGACATGGAAACACAAATATCCCTTCCTGAACTCATACCTTTGGCTGATTTGGTTGGGGGTGGTAATCCCATTTGATTCATTAAAGGACAAGGAAGAAAAACCCCAAGCTTAGCTTATAATTGGTTGGCTTAATAAGTGGATGCAAGCTAAAAATGGAAGCGGCTGCATTAAAGTCCTACTCATGGGTGGTCTTGAAAGACTGTGGAGATAAAAATCTCTCTGATGGGCAGAGCTGTCAACAGTGCACCTGGTTAAGAAGTGGCCCACAGTGAAAATATATAGTGATTTCTGGTCAGCGGCCAATGGCCTGGATGAATGATCAGAGGTCTGGAAGGGAAAGCACTAGATGACTGAAGTCAAGGAGTTGTGCACTAGAAGTACATGGGCAAACAGATAGTACCAGCCACAAAGTCATTAACATATACTAGAAAGCATCCACATGGAAAAGGCACTGAAAAACCAAATAGACAACATGTCTTGGCTGGTTGATGTTAATTTTTGTTACCTTAGAACTGTAATATGAAAGTAGTAGTCATGGTAGCAGAGACAAAGTCTGTGTGTGGAGCCAATGGTATAGACTCCACATTTAGTAAATGGTATTTACTAAAGCAGATCCAGCATCTGTGGTTTCTGAATATCCTACCTGTTATAACAGACACCAATGCTGACCCTTCAATATGTCAAAATTCCTAGAGGAGACCAACCGATGATGATTTAGTGACAAGTTGACTACATCAGGCCTCATCTATCCTAGAAAGGTCAATGGTTCATCTTAACAGTGGTAGGTAAGAACTTCAGGCACATGTTTTCCTTTCCTGCCTGCAAAGCCTCAGTCAGTACCACCGTCTGAGGGTTTACAGAATGCCCGATTCACAGGCATGAAATCTCACAGCATAGCATCTGACCAGGTGACCCACTTTACAGAAAAGGACATGTGAGAGTGGGCTGTCGTAGGATTACACCCATCATAGGGCCCACTATTTATAACGTATACTATACCACTCAGTAACAGTAAGTCTCATAGAGCACTGAAATAACATTCTTAAAGGATAGCTGAGCTACTAGCTCAGAGACAACACTCTGAAGGGCTGGGGTTCATCCTTTAAGTTGTAGCATAATCATTAAATTAAGAGACCCCTTTGTTGTTCTGTATCCCTAAGTAGGCATGAGGCATGAATGTAGGAACCAAGAAGTCACAGAATGGATATTTCCTCTCTAGATGTTCTATTTGGGTCTTTATTCTTTTACGTAGTGCCTTAACATGTTTATCCTTTTTTCTGTCTTCTTGAACATAAGGGATCTAGTTATAATAACTCCTTTAATGTTCTGTTTTTACAGTTCTAGAATTTATTTTTGTTTCTTTTTAAAATACAGTATATATCACTTTTTATAGTTTCCAGTTCCCTTATTTTTATACTTTGCTTTTATCTACTTTTACTTAATAAGGACATTGGTTTTATAATCTATGTCTGATAATTCTAATATTTCTTTTTTTGTTTGTGTTTTTTGGTTTATAATTTTACTTTAAGTTCTGGGATACATGTGCAGAGCATGCAGGTTTGTTACATAGGTATACATGTGCCATGGTGGTTTGCTGCACCTGTCAACCGGTCATCTAGGTTTTAAGCCCCGTGTGCATTAGGTGTTTGTCTTAATGCTCTCCCCCTCCTTGCCCCCCATCCCCTGACAGGCCCTGGTGTGTGATGTTCCCCTCCCTTTGTCCATGAGTTCTCACTGTTCAACTCCCACTTATGAGTAAGAACATGTGGTGTTTGGTTTTCTGTTCCTGTGTTTGCTGAATTTACAAGAAAAAAATAACCCCATCAAAAAGTGGGTGAAGGTTAACAGACATTTCTTAAGAGAAGACATTTATGTGGCCAACAAACATATGAAAAAAGCTCATCATCATTGGTCATTAGAGAAATGCAAATCAAAACCACAATAAGATACCATCTCACACCAGTTAGAATGGCAATCATTAAAAAGTCAGGAAACAACAGATGCTGGTGAGGCTGTGGAGAAATAGGAATACTTTACACTGTTGGTGGGAGGGTAAATTAGTCCAACCATTGTGGAAGACAGTGTGGCGATTGCTCAAGGACCTAGAACCAGAAATACCATTTGACCCAGCAATTCCATTACTGGGTATATACCCAAAAGATTATAAATCATTCTACTATAAAGACTCATGCACACATATGTTTACTGCAGTAGTATTTACAATAGCAAAGACTTGGAACCAACCCAAATGCCCATCAGTGATAGACTGGATAATTCCAATTATTTCTAATCTCTATGTTACCTTTGTCTGTTTTTCTTTTCTTATATTTTTGCACCTGTTATCTTGTCTTCTCATGTGCCTAGTTATTTTTAACGAATCATTAAAGGCTGCATTTGAAAAGTTATTTGTAGAAATAATTTGAATTATAAAATGATAATATTTTCTGACAGGGATTATTTTTCATTTGCCTCAGTCAGATGCGTGGGGAACTAACAGTTCAGGATCATCTTTATATATGTTAAAGTCTTAAGATTTTCTAGGGAACCCAGATGATATGAAGCAGGGCTTGTATACCATCCTAGGGTTTGTTTATTTCTAGTCTGCCCTTATGTTTAAATGAAAGATCTTAAAGCCAAACGAAGGATATTTTCTAGAATCTGTACCATTGTTGAGTCCCAGATACTGGGTTTTGTCTCCCTATCCAATTGAGGGTCACCAGAAGTATGGCCTAGTGTCTCAGCCTGTGTATTATGCATTGATAAGTGACCCCAGGGTAAAAGCTGTCCAAGTATTTTACTGACCCTTCTAGGTTCTCATCCTCTGCTCTGATCATATTGTTAGTATTTTGACATATTTTGGAAAATATTTCAATTTTCCCCTCCAAAATGATAAGTTGCTTTCAATAGCAAGTTTACCTAAGCCAACATTGCTGGAAGTGGAGGCCCCATGATATTTTAATTCTAGAAAACCAGAATACACTAGTAACATTTGAAAAAGAAGGAAATATGTGGTTTGACAATATGGGAGAAACATGTTTATATATTTCAATTTAAAGTTGAAGGGCTACTATGGATAAAAATAGTCTACGCTTCTTCTAAACGGCTTCAGAAGCTAGAACAAAGAAAAAAATCAGGCCACATTTCAAGAAAATAATTTTAGAATAATACATGTTCATTGTTAAACTGTTTATCTGGGAAAGTTTGCTTTAAGAGCCAGTGAGCTTCCTAACACTGGATAGATCCCATTAGTGATTAAAAAACCATCTGTCAAGGACCCATATCTAAGATATGGATTGGACTAGTGACCTCCAGGGTCCCTAATGTGTAAGATTCCAAGGTTATTTAATTCCAGGAGGGAATTGGAGATGACCTCTGGGTTATGTCTGTAGATAACAAAACAGTAAATTATTTTATAAGGAATAGCTCATTTTAGGCTTGGACTTCAAGGAGATAATTTTTTAAGATTCCCTTCTTGTGCTGTCTCTGATTGAAATGTCTCACAAGCATAGTTCTAGCAATTAAATGTATTCTTTCTCTGCTCTGTGAGCATTAATTTTCATGTATATTTGTTACAGCTCAAGACCTGAGATAATGCCCTGTAAACAGGGAGTAGCTGTTAGCACATTAATTAGGGTTCTCTTTATGGTACTATTGAGAAAGATAATTATTTGTTAGATTAAATCCTGTGCCCTAGGAACTCCAGTTTTTCATGTTGAGTTAGATACTCCATTACAACTACAAACTAAAATTCATATACAGGCTCATTTGCACACACTTTCTATATTTAGGTACTGTCTTTCTTAGTTTAAGACACAAATAACTGTTAAGTAATGAAAGGACCATAAATTCATCCTAAGTAGCGAATCATTGGTTTGGCAATAGGAGTGTAAATATGACCCAGGTTAACAAATTTTCTAAGAGCTACTGTTCAATGTGTAAGTGCTTAAAAACAAATTTCATTTTCTTTTCAAGTCTATACAAGCCAGAGCTTATTCTAAATTGTCTCAATATTCCCAAATGCTGATATCAAAAATAGAGAAAATGAAAGTTTATTTCCTCAATTAGAATGCACATAATGAAATATTATGCCCTGCAGTTATCTTAATGGGCAGAATCATCCTGAGAGAATTCTGATCTCTTTATGCAATCTGTGCTTCTGTTGATACATATGTTAATTTCATATCACTCTGTGCTTTTATTAATAAGAAAATAAGCTGCTGAGACCTGAGTTCCCTTGGACAGATTTACATGGGTAAACAGAGAAGAGAGTTTCAGGTTGCCATTCAGCTTTCCAGGAATGTAGTCGGGCATTACAGAGTTGCAAGTTATTTGTGTAGTGCATTCCTCTAGATAAAGTGTTACCAGCTTCAATGGTAACATATTGCTAGTTTTGTCCAGCTCTATTGGTGATATGCTGCTCACTAGCAGATCTACAAGACACATCCCTTCCCAATCTTTACTTCTTTTCCTTTTTTGTTGTTTTGTTTTGTTTTTCTAGTAAGAAAGACTTCTTCCCAAGTGCTATGGATAGCTTCATCCTTGTCCAACAGGAAGAATAAATCTTCTGGATGGCAGACTACAATCTTTCTGGATGTCTGACTACTGTAGCCAATCAAACAAAGCTCAGTAGCTATCACAGCAAACAATGGAACTAGGAGGGACTGAAGGAGAAACAAGAAAAAGAAAATATTTGTAGGCATTGCAGATACACTAAAGTCCTTGTAGCCAATGACTCTCTAAGAGAGGAAGACAAAAATAACAAAAAAGTTATCATTTGTTAGTTATCTAATATTTTGTTTTATGCTAGGCATTCTACCAGGTTAATTTAAAAGCAATCTTTTAAACTTTGGATCAGTTTTCAAATTGGGTAATAATATCCCCATCTTATAGAGAAGAAAACTAAGGTCTAGAAAGATTAAATGATGTTGCCAATCACACAACTAGATAGTGACAGGGCTGGCATCTGAACTCAGCTCCTTCCTACTTGGAATTCCATCGATTAATTTCTGCTTCAATTGCTCCTCATATTTCATTCTATACAAATACTAGGGATATAAAAGAGAGAGTGAGAGCTGAAAATCTAGCTATGAACAACCAATTTAAAAAACCTCATTTATCAACTGTGTTATTGAGGTCATAATGAGACTCTTCTTAGGAATATTGTAAAGAAACAAAGTGCAAGAGAAGCAGACTCATTACATAGATAAAAATAAGAACAACCACTAATACACTCTGATTTTAAGAATCACTGCCCTCCCATAGGGCTCCCGTTTCTACCTTTCTAGATGGAAATTTACCAATTGTAGACTTCCCAGCATTCCTTTAAGTTTAGGGAATTCTCTATCTCATGAAACTTGTAGAAGACACAGCCTACTTCTTACCACAGAAGCTGCCAAAGTTTCTCACTTTGCCAGCCCTTTCTGCAGCTAGTGCTTGAGCACTAAACTTGGGCTCAGATATGGGTACATCCTGCTAGCATTTTAATATGGAATTCGTAACTTAGAAACAGTGGTAATGAAGAATTATTTTCTGCTGTCATGACTGGGTAGAGACATCTAATGGCTGGGGCAGTCATAGAAGACATGTCTGCAGTAGCATCCAGGGATAGTAGGACAGGAGGTGGCAAGCTGTGATCTGTACCAGAGCAGCAGTGGCTTCATTGGACTGACACTCTGGTATAGCCTTGGCAAAGGGTTGGAATGCTATCTACCTCATTTCCTTTCTGCCTGTTTTCTTATCCTCTGTGTCCACTGTTCCTGATGATCCAAGGAGCCATGCAATATTCTAGCCATACATTTCCCTTGGTTTAAATCAGTCGGTTGTATTTATATAGCCAGGAACAAATAATCTTAACTAATACACTCACCATGAGCCTATTAAGTTTGTCAAATTTTGCTTGTGATTTGATTTTACCAAGAAGTCCTAATTACTGACCAATGTCTTAATTAAAAGCAGTAATCTTTGCCAACCCATGGAAGTGTTAGTGTATGAAACTACCTAGCAGCAATGAAGCAGGTCAAAAACGGGACAAGAACTGAGTGCAATGTGTGTATTGTCCGGGAAAAAGAAACCAAAGTATGGCTAGTCCAAGAAAGGAGAGAGAACCACAATAACATCAAGATTTTAATAATATCTCACATTTTATGGCAGACCTAAGTCTTAATATGGCAGGTCCTCAATTCTGGAAAGTTGTACTCCCACCACAAAAAAACATAGTTATTGGGGAGAAAGGAATCATTATCATCAATGCCATCTCCATTAATTGAACATTTTTGAAGCAATCATCTGAACATTTGTTATTTGTGCTTACAATGATTCTTTGAGGAAATACTATTACCATAATTTTACAGATATGGAAACTGAAGTTTAGGAAGGTCAAAACTTGTACAAGCCACTCAGCTGGTAACAAGTGGAGGTGGGAGGTGAACCCAGGCAGTAAAAACCATTACAACTTTATTACTTTTTCCTTAAAAAAGAAAAGACCATAGGATGATCTTTTCAATATGGAACAGGGGAGCTTTTCCTCCAGAAGTCCTGTATCGGGGCCTTTCCATCTCCACCGACTTCTCATAGACAATTTAGGAACAGGCAGAGCCCTCCTTGTCTCTCCCGGCTTCTCATAAGCTGATTCCTCTGGTCCATTTCTGTTCTGCCTACCACACCCATTTCCTCCCCTTTTTATTTGCTCCCACTCTTATCTAATCATTCTTGCCTTTCTTAACGCTAATGTGCTAAGAAAAATGATACTCTTCAAGGTCTAACTCAAATATCTGTTTTTCATGAAACCTTGTCTCTCATGACTCTAACCTCTCAATGGTCTCTTCCAACTCATGGAAGCATTTCTCATCTGTACCACTTATGTGAAACTAAAACACATAGTCTAGTGCCACATTTAGTAGGAAACCACATATTCAGATAACTGACCTGAGTTCAATTATGTGCCAAACAATTGTTGGTTTTGTAACTTTTACTTCGCAATAACTATAGAATCTGAGGGACATTGCAGAGAAATGTACAGGAAGTCCAGTACATCCTTTACTCGGCCACCTTGAAAGTTAACATATTACAAACACTGTAGAATAATATTAAACCAGGTCACTGACATTAGGAAAGCCATACCCTAAAATGACCCTGTGGGTTCACGTCTGTTTCTAGGAGAAAGAGTTTCATTGTGTACTGGTTGTTAGTAAGCTGGCTCCTATAAGAAAATCCCAGAACGTGGATATCACAGTTAACTATAACTGTGACATGACATGACATGACATGCTTTGAGAAAATACCATGATGCATATGTATTTCATTATTACTATGTCATAGGTATGGAGCCATTGATCAGGAAATTCACATTGTGTAACCAATTGCACCTGAAGTTGAAATTCATGGTTATATGAGTTATGCTTACTAAGTATTATTGGCAACCTTCTCACTCACAGCCCCCAGAGGGGGACTCTGTAGGAAATAGAGGAAAGAAAAAAGGAAGTGTGTTGTGGAGTCAGACTAGAATAAAACTAGAGTTTTATTCCTGAATATACCACTTATTGCTAATTGTGTGGACACTGGGCAAGGCATCTAACCTCTGAGCCTTAGTTCTCTAAGCTGCACAACGAGAATACTACTGACAATCTTCTAGGACTATTTAAAGATCATATTCAAGACCATAGAAAAAAGTATCTGTTGTTTAGTAAGGTCTTAAATTGGGGTTGAAAGGTTTTTAGACCATGCAAAAAATATATAAAAGCTATGGACTCACAATCAAGAAACCATCACTGTATCTAAACAGAGAATATTATTTAGAGATTATCAGGTGTATGAAACCAAGTGCTGAGTGGAATTGCATTTTACCTAATAACTAAAAATTATCAATCATATTTTGAACCGCCTGCTTTGTTTTTAAAATCAGACCTGGCCAGGCACGGTGGCTCATGCATGTAATCCCAGCACTTCGGGAGGCCGAGGCTGGCAGATCATCTGAGGTAATGAGTTTGAGACCAGCCGGACTATCATGGTGAAACCCTATCTCTACTAAAAATACAAAATTAGCCAGGCATGATGGCACATGCCTGTAATCCCAGCTACTTGGGAGGCTGAGGCAGGAGAATCGCTTGAACCCAGGAGGCAGAGGTTGCAGTGAGCCAAGACTGTGCCATTGCACTCCAGCCTGGGCAGCAAGAGTGAAACTCCATCTCAAAAAATAATAAATAAATTAAAATAAAATAAAATAAAATCAGTCCTTATTCTCTCCATGCTTAGTATACAAAGTATTTAACACATTTATTATCCCACAGCTAGACTTTAAAATAGAGTTTTAATTTGTCTAGCATGACAGAGCGCTTAGGTTCTCTTTTCAGCTGAAGTACTTATATCTGCTAATTCACCTTTCAGAGAAGTTTGCCTTTTCTTTACATTTTGATTATTCATATAATTTTTCTCAATGCAAGGTATGCTATATGACTATTTATACCAAAACAAGCCTATCAAGTCACCCCTCTAGCTTTTAAAGGCAAATGCTGTTTGATTATATTACCTATTGGTTTCATGATTTAAACTGTATGCAACACTTATCAGAATTGGAGAATAATACATATAATCTTTGAGAAATTTCATTAACTTATGATTTTTAAATAATTATATATTCACAAGAATTTGTCTTAAAAAATGTACAGAGAGGTCCTATGCACCCTTCACCCAGTCTCCTCCAGTGGTAATACCTTATAGAGCTATTAAAATAGGAAACTGACATTGTTAAACCCAACAATCTTATTCAGGCTTCACAAGATTTACGTGTACTCATTTCTGTATGTCATGCACTCATCTGTGCACATGCACATGTGGCTATGTAATTCTGTGTGATTTTATCATGTAGGTAGCTTTGTGTAACCACCACTATCATCAAAAGAACTGTTTCCTCACTACAAACCTCCCTCTTACTACCTCTTTAACACTACACTTACTACCCTCTCTATATCCCTAAACCCTGGCAATCACTAACTTGTTCTCCGTCTCTATAATTTTGTTATTTCAACAATGCTATATAAATGAAATCATACAGTATATAATCTTTTAAGATTGACTTTTAACTCAAAACCCCCTAGCAATTCATGCAGGTTATTGCAGATATCAAGAATTCATTCCTTTATGTGGATGCCTAACAACCCATGGTATGTATGTACCGCAGTTTTCTCATTCACCATTTAAGAGCATCCGTATTCTTTCCAAGTATTGACTATTATGAATAAAGCTGCTATGAACGTTCACGTGCAGATTTTTGTGTGACTATGTTTTTATTTTTATGGATAAAATCTCAAGAGTCTAATTGCAGAGTCATATGGTAATCGTAACTTTAGTTTTACAAGAAACTAACAAACTATTTTTCAGAGTAATAATAACATTTTATGTTGACATCAGCAATGTGTGAGTAATTTAGTTTCTCCACATCTTTGCCAGTATTGGTGTAACAGCTTTTTCATTTTAGCCATTATAAAGATGTGTAGTGACATCACAATTTGGTTTAAATTTGCATTTCCCTAATGGTTAATGATTTTTTTCACGTATTTATTTGCCATCTCTATGTCCTCTTAAGTGAAAGGTCTTTTCATGTCTTTTGTCCATTTTCTACCTGAATTGTTTTTTTAAACCATTGTATTGTGATAATTCTTTAACATATTCTAGATACAAGGCCTTTGTTGGATATGTAGATTGCAAGTATTTTCTTTGAGTCTGTACCTGGTGTCTTCATCCCCTTCACAGTTTCCTTCAAGTTTTACTTCTGATGAGGTCCAAATTGTCTTTCTTTTAATGGATCGTGATGCTTTTGCACCAAATATAAAAGCTCTTCACCTAGCTTTAAGTCCTGCAAACTTTCTGGTTTTTTCTAAAAACTTTTTAACTTTTACATTTCACATTTAAGTCCGTGATCCATTTTGAGTTATTTGACTTAACTTTTGAGTAAACTGGAAGGTTTAGAAGGTTTCAAAAACATTTTGAAAATGTTTTGTATGTTTGTTTTATTTACTTTATTTATTCTTTATTTTTTTATTTTTTGCCTGTGCATATCCAATCACTTCAGCAGCATTGTTGAAACGGCTATGGTTTCTCTATCGAATTGCTTTTGTGCCTTTATTAAAGAAAAATCACTAGGGCACAAATGTGTGGGTATATTTCTGGGCTCTCTATTGTGTTTCATTGATCTATGTGTCTATCTCTCTGCCAATACCACAATCTCCTGATTAGTATGGCTATATTGTAAGCCTTAATATTGGAGAGAGTGATTCTTTTCATTTCTTTCAGTATTGTGTTAGCTATTTTCAGCCCTTTGCCCTTCCACACAAACCTTGGAATAAGCATTTTTATGTCTAGTAAAACCTTTTGGAGTTGTACAGCAATTGTTCTAATCCTACACATCAATCTGGGGAGAATTGCCATCCTTATTACGCTGTGCCTTCCAATCCATGTACACAGAAACTTCTTCCAATTAGTTTTCTATGATTCTTTCATTATTTTGTAATTCAGCCTACAGATCTTATACATATTTTGTTAGATTTAGAACTAAGTATTTATTTGGAGCAATAAATAGCATTGGAGTTTTTAATTTGATTTTCTCTCATTTTTAGTATATAGAAATATAACTGATTTTTGTGTGTTCTTCTTTCATCCTGTGACCATACTGAACTCATTTATTAGTTCTAGGAATTTTTGTAGATTCCTCAGGAAATTCTGTGCAATTATATGCCTGCAAATATAAGCAGTTTTATATCTTTTTTTCACTCTGTGCCCTTTTAAATTATTTTTCTTGCATTATTGTGCTGGCTTAGAATTTCAGTACCATGTTGAATAAAAATGGTAAGAGTAGATGTTCTTGTCTTGTTCTTAATCTTAAAGGGAAATAATTCATTCAGTCTTTCATCACTAACTGTGATACTACGTTTACCTCTAGAAGTCCCCCACCCGCTTTCTCAGTGGTAATTTGTTGATTCAAGTTCAATTAAAATTTGGAAATACACATTCAGCAGTTCCAGACTTATGGTTTAAGAGGTGATGAGAGGTCCCAGCGTGGTGGCTCACACCTGTAATCCCAGCACTTTGGGAGGCCAAGGTGAGCAGATCACTTGAGGTCAGGAGTTCAACCTCAACATGGCCAACATGGTGAAACCGCATCTCTACAAAAAATATGAAAATTGGCTGGATGTGGTGGTGAGTGCCTGTAATCCCAGTACTCCAGAGGCTGAGGTATAAGAATTGCTTGAACCCGAGAGGCAGAGGTTGCAGTGAATCGATATTGATAATCAGCTTTTACTGATGATATAATGAGCTCCCTCTTAAAATGGCAAAATGCTATCACTCTCAGATGGAAATAAGCTTTGATAAGACATATTTTATAAAGGATATTGTTCATATGTCTTTTACTACTCTAGGTGCCAGAGTCTTGACTCCTTTAGTCATATGTCTTCTCATTATTATGCCTAGATTAGTTCTCTAAATGGTAACTTCATCAACAATATAAGGTCTTATTAACAATTACTAAAGCATCTCCAAGATGGGTAAATACACAATTAACTTAAAAATATTTACATATACCATGAGTTAATTATACATGGTAGCATTCCTAAATAAACATTTTGCTTTTTAAGTTTCTGAAGAAAGTCCTCAGCTAACAGAAACGTTTCTCTTCTGAATGGTTTCTCCTAGGCTTTGATGATCTAAGTCTGTTTGGCCAGCAAGGACCAAGTTTATTACTATTAGTCAAGAATTCTTATTCTTTAATTACTTACTTGCTCTTTTTAAGTAAGAGTCTTTATCACTTTTTTTATTCCCTTCAAAAAGACTAATAATAAAGTCATTATTTTGCCTTATTTTCTACCCTAGAAATGATTCCTTCTATTTACGAGTCTCCATGCCACCTTTTATCAGTGTACCCTGTGGTGATGGTTACAGGTTGTATTCAGGAGTAACTTTCCCGAGTGGGGTTCCAGCAGAAGCCAGACTTCCCCACTGAGAAGAAAGACAAATGTCATAACCCTTCCTATGTAACGTAATTTTTCACCTTCAGCTGAGTTGCAAGGTATTAATGTTTTAAGTTTTGAACTTAAAATGTGAACCCTCATCACGTAAACTTCCTACAAGTTTTATTTTAAAAATGTAACCACTTGGACATTTTTATTTTATTCTATTGTTAAAATCAATTTCTGTAGTCTTTAGCAGGAAAATAAACTCTCTCTTCATAAATTACGTTTTATTGTTCCAACTCCTATCATTAATTCAATCTTCATTTTTATGTTGTACCTTCCAAGATAAATTATGTTTAAGGGTTTTACATACTGAACGAGGAATTATTAAAAGGATACTATAGTATGAAGGATCTCAGAAAGAAGTTTCATTCATATCATGATTTTGACCAAAGACAGATTTGAAATTCTTGTTTCTATTCTCCAAGGTTTTAAAGTTGACTGCCTACCTTGTGCTCCAGTCGACCCCATGCAGACAGCTTAATTTGATCTTTGGCTTCTCTCTGTTCTTTAGTGCTATTTTGGAGTTCATGAAAAAACTGGGAGAGATTTCAGAGGAGTGCTTCTCCCACAAGGCTATGACTTGTGCCCTTCCACTAACTCTCACATAACTCCCTCTACTGTACTTTCTTCTTCATCAAGAAAAGAGAATCCTGATCCTTCAACTGCTAACACATCCATCTATTGTGGTTGAACTGAGATGTGTGAAGGCTAAAAAAATGTATGCTACTTCTCACTGTCTATGGCAGAATGGTCCATGTCACTACTTGTTTCTTAAATCCAGAAACATGTGCTCTCTCTGGAAGGCATCTGAGTTTGGAAAAAGAATCAACACTGCAGCCAACCACATCCCATAAAGACTATCTCTCCACAGATCACATGGTCAACTAGGTCGTGTCCAAGGTGACCTTTCAGAGACCATGTATCTGGGTAACCCACAGGCTTGCTGTTGCTCCAAAGACAATCAAACTAGGGTCTCCATGCAGTAACGTCAGAAACTTTAGAAGAAATCTGATTATATTCATCACTTTTTCCTTTTGGACTTCTTTCTTCTTCAAAACACTGTTAATTTACTTGTTATAAGGACTAAGGACTTTTTTTTCTGTGTTTCAGTTTTTGTAAGCTGTAAAGAAATTGTCTGGACATAATGGAAGAGGTATTCATCTTGCTTTCTACTCCCCAGTTTACAATTTCTGGTAATGGTTATCTGTGCCTACTCCCTCCCCTATCCCATTTGAAACAGTTTTAGTTCTCTCATTGATTCCAATTTGAAATTTTCATGTTTCCTTTCAATCTTTCTTTTCTATAATTGGGAAAGTTGCAAATCTATGTTTCCAAAACCTATGTCCCCTTGAGGCTTCTTACTGGGTTTGATCCCTGGAAAGAACTTAATGATATGGAGAAAAGGGAACTTGCCGCTGATGTTTAGAAGGCATACTTCTCTGATCTTCAGCTTCACACTCTGATCTTCAGCTTCTAGTCCGTCTATCATATGGAAAGAGATCATGGGAATTCTTGGGCAAGTTCACTGTTCTAAATCACATGACAACCTGCTTGTGGTAAATGAATACTCTACCCAGTATGCAGGGACTTTTAAAAAATAATCACTCTATCCTGTTACATATTAAGAATTGCAATGTGTAGTTTCTACTCTTGTTCTCTTTTTTACCCCCTACCTTACTGCATATTTGTTTTGTCATTTTTACCTATTTTCTCCAACAAAGTAGTCAGTGAAAAGCAATCGTTTTATTTTATCTGCATATAATATCTATCAATATTTTTCTGAGAATGAAATTTTAGTACACGCCACTAGGTATACTGTTACCAAAAAAAGCACTGTTTGTGGATCCCCAGTCTTCTCCATGAAATTTAAATTAGGGTTGCTTTATTTTGGACTCTTTCTACATACAGATAGAAGCAAATTTGTGATTGGCAGAAGAGAAGAGAAAAAAGGTCAAAGAGATAGCAAGTAGGGTTTTCAAATGCTCTTATTACTAAATCATTTAAATAGTTTTTGATTGACATAGCAGGTATACAACTTTAAGATCAAATGTAGGACACAGAATGTGAGTGAGGGAGGGGCCGGATGTATTGCCTTCTCAAGGTCAAGAGAATGAGGGAATGCATTAACATGATAACTCTAATCTCTAAAAAGATACCCAAAGCATATGTGATGAGCTGTGTTTCCTGAAACTCTAGAGTTAAATACCATCCTAAAATATAATAGCTTTCATTCTATTAGTCATTACTCCTTTGGTTATAAGTTACAGGAAGAAATGCATATATGCTTAGAGAAAGAGGGAAAATGACTAGTTCATACAACCCAGAAGGGATGGGTATAGTGGGCAAAGTCTAGAACCAGTGACTTGCTGCCACCCAAACCTTTTCTCTCTCAGCCTCTCATCTCCACTTTCTCTTCTTGTGGATAACATTCTCAATTACTACAGACCAGCTTCAGTAGGGAATACTTACAAGTTCAAAAGAAATTCTGTTTGTAATGGACAAATTGGGGCTCCTCTGCCAATGAAAGCCTGTACATTCTAAGGTGAATAAAAACTTCAAATAAATACAAAAACTGCCTTTATGTGCTTACCTTAGAGCCCTAGAATAATTACGAACAGTCACTGTGATGGCATATGCATATATATTAGGTTGGTGCAAAAGTAATTGCAGTTCTTGCCATTACTGCTAATGGCAAGAACTGCAATTACTTTTGCACTAACCTAATGCATACATATAGATAGATGTCCTACGGTTATGTTTCCCTGAAGAACTCAGACTAATACAATTACACAAGTACAAATATTCTTTATGAAACAAGAAAAAAATTTCTGCCAGTTTCCCCACAGCAATGTACTTTAAAAACAGTAATTGAACTTCACTTTTATTCAAGGCACAAAACAAAAGCTAACATTTATAGATTGCTTACTTTTCCAGTTTACTTGTATTATCTTATTTCATCCTCACAATAACCGTGGAACAAATGTTATTATACCAATCTTACAGGTTAAAAAAAAAAAAAAATTGTAGCATAGAGAGGTTTGGTAGTTTTCCCAAGGCCAAACTGCTAACAAGTGGGAGAGCTGGGATAAGTATAATAAATGATATTCTACATAGGAAATATTAAGTACTAAATGTCATATGTAGTATTTATATTTATTTGCTATCTCATCAGAAGTTAGTGTGCATTTCCTCTACATCCAAGTCTGTTTTCTCTTTAGCCTCAGAATGTTGACCCTAATATGCTGATGAAATCAGTGAGTCATGGCTGAAAATAGATGTTACACATCCAACACTATTCCTAGCTTGTATGGAAAGTGCAATATTAAACAGAGAAAAAATGAACACATTAATAAGTTCTGGCAGCTCTCATAAATTCAATGCCAAGTCACAAAAAAATGGGGTTCACTGTAAACTGGTTTCAGTGTAAACTTTCATGCATGTTTATTAACACCACAGAAATGGTACATCAAAAAGACAATCAGCCAAGAAATGCGAGTGCTTATTTGTTAGTTACTATATAGCAGAAACAAAGTGATTCCTCTTTCCCAGATATGCCACTCTCGCAAGGCCTGACCATATGTGCTGGTTATATACAAAGTAAAAGAACAAAACAAATGGAGAAGCTTATTTTTAATCTTGATAAGCTACAAAGTAAAAACATTTTACTACCAATTGTTTTTCTAAAATCTCTAGTATTCAGCATTTCATAGTAGAAAAATATCTTCCATTGATTTGCTCTGTAAGTATTCAAATGAATAAAACCCCTAAAAGCATTTATGAATGTTCAGTATTCTACACTAAAGTAACTTCAAGAGAGGCTACTGGAGCGAAGCTTTTTCACGTTATACTTTACTCTTCTATACACTTCACTATGGCAAAGTATTTTGTCATGTAAAGGTCTTTCTTTTGTGAATCAGCATAGCTTTTTTTCCTCTAGGCTTATCACAGAAGCAGTCTCAATTAGTAAAACAGCAGCCTTACATTTCTAAATGCAGTAATTCAAGCTGATGCCACCAGCAGAGCAGGGAGGGATGCCATGGGACCAAGTGTTACATGATTTAACAAAGTGTTGTAATTAGAAGTGTATCATTCAGAAAATTGCCTAGAATATACTCATGAACTGGCAACCGCCTTTGCTGTCACTAGCACAAATGAAAATTTACCATATACTTAATAACGTGTGCATGCAAATTTGGAGTGTGTTATTTGAAATTCATGGAAATGAATTACATGCCATTATTAAATCTGCAATACTTTTCTTTCTTTTCTGTATCATCTCATGATTTAATGTATTTATAGGTAGTTTTCATTTACTTAAAATGATTTAATGTACTTCTAAATATACTTAATTAGCTTAAGTGAAGGTTAAAAACTTCAATGTTTACATACTTTGGAAGTGTGTATGTATAGCTATATTGAAATAGTTTTTGTGAAACTTTCAATTTATGTTATCATCTGTTCCTTTAAACCAGGACTGTGTTTTCTGATGGTTCAAAATACACAAACTTTGTTCCATGCACAAAAGTATTAAAAATACTGTATAAACTTACCTTTGGGCCATGTGTATAAGGCATAAATGAAACATAAATGGATTTTGTGTTTAGACTTGGGTTTCCTGCCCAAGGTATTTATGTATACACAAATGATACATTTATGTATATGCAAAAATCCCAAAATTTGAAAAAAATTTGAAATTCAAAACACTTCCAGTCCCAACCCTTTCAGATAAGAAATACTCAAACTGTATTAATTTTTTCTAATAATAAAAAGTTGTTTCAAAGCAAAATAACAACAGCAAATCTGAGTCATTCCCAGTAATTCCCAGTAACTGAAGTAACTTCTTAGAAAATGCTTCCGGGGAATGGAAAAACTAAAACTAATAATGGAAATCCCAGAACCCACATATCTTTGAACCATTGCTTGAAAAGTTATTTTTGAAGTATGTTTCTCATCTCCTTGAACAGATGGTACTGTTATGGAATTTTCAAACCTGCTGCTAATTTTGTTTTTATAAATTTTCTAAAATAGAAAAAAAAGTTTAACGGGTAAGAAAAATGCATCTTGGTTTCTTGTTCTTAAATTGAATAAACAACTGTAAATTTCAGCAGAATAACAAAACAAACTTTCCAGGAGTTTTAAGCCTTTGAAACAGGCTTTTAGAGGGATGATACAGAAGGATGAAATGATGAAGTCTAGGGTAGTGTATTATTAAAATTTTAAAACAGTAGAAATGTGATACTCATATGCAAGCACTAATAAAAATTGAGTATCCATTATCAAGCTTTTAAAATAAAAATATAAACATCAGTTAGTATATACCCAATTGGAAAAAGCAGAATATCAATAAAACTTTTCTACAAAGATATCTTAATGCCAATATTGGCATTTGCAAATAAAATTAATCAGGGTAGATTATTTTCATTACAAAAATTTAATTGTTTTAACAAAGGATTAAATGAAGATTTCCTCCCTTTTGTATAAATGAGTTTGTTTCCAGATTATAACGTAAATCATAACAAAGTCACTTAAACATCAAAGTTTAGAAGTCATTATTGATTAAACACAAACAGAAACAGAGCATAAAGTATTTTGTGATGCAAGTCGGTAAAACAAAGTGATTACTTAGGCATTCAAAAACCCTTTGATATCCCTTTGCTGAAGAAAAGCACAGCAAATAACATTTCTGGAGGACAATATAATAATATGTATTAAAAGTTCCTAAAATGTTTTCACCCCTTGACCCAATGATTCCCCTACTCTTATCCTAAGAAAATATCAAGCAAGTGCACACAGATAAGTTTTCAATCGTGTTCATCACAGGGTTGTTTACCAACAACCCACGTTTCCCAGAACAGGGGAATAATTAAATAAATTGCAGTACCTTCACAGGGCGCAATTCTAGAAACCACTGAATAATCTAGATAATACACGTGTATCGTTTACATGGAAATATGTGATATAATGAGTAAAAAAGCAGGCTGCAACTGTATGCAAAATATGACATGCATAATAAATATGTGTCCATTCATCAAACAGGTACCTATATAGGTAAAGGATTGGAATATTGAGCTGTGGGAAGATTTACATCTCATTCAAATTCAGTTTTTGTTTTTCTAATTTTTACCTAATGAATACATACAACAAATGAAATAAATGTAGATTTATTTATTTATTTATTTATTTATTTATTTATTGAGATGGAGTTTCACTCTTGTTGCCCAAGCTGGAGTGCAATGGTGCAATCTCGGCTCACTGCAACCTCCACTTCCTGGGTTCAAGCGAGTCTCCTGCCTCAGACTCCTGAGTAGCTGGGATTACAGGCATGCACCACCACGCCTGGCTAATTTTTCTGTTTTTAGTAGAGACAGGGTTTCGCCATGTTGGCCAGACTGGTCTTGAACTCGTGACCTCAGATGATCCGCCCACCGCAGCCTCTCAAAGTGCTGGGATTACAGGTATGAGGCACTGCACCTGGCTGATTTATTCTTTTAAACATCTATTAAGTCTTTCTGGGATTGTTTAAGTAGCATCACTGACATGTCCTATTAGGTTATCTCTTTTAGATATTTCTTTTAAAAGATGGTCAAAGAAACAGATGATGATTTTATGGCTTTTAACTTTTTAAGCTAGTATAACAATGTAGTTCATGCCTTGCTTCTATATCTGACTAGCTAAAATATTTGCATTTCCATGTGAATTATTCCTATAGCACCTAAATTTTATTGTAAATGCATTATTCTAAGTAATATACCAGCCTGATGAATTTTATTTACAATAATAAGCATAGTTAAGAAAATGTTTTCTCTTGTCCTGTCTCTTGCAATTATTTCAGTAATACTATAGCAAGGCAGTTTCCTCTTAATTTTAGATATTGACTCTCTGGATGTTAATTTTGCATAGAAATGAGTAAAAATATTAGAAAGAATTCCAGAGAACAAAGAACTAAAAGAATAAAGATATCAATATATCTTAGGCCATTTGTTATCTACCTATCAGTAAACAGGGCAACTCTTATTCATTTTTTAAATTACTGCTTTTGGGAAGGCACAGTGCCTCACACCTGTAATCCTAGCACTTTGTGAGGCTGAGGTGTGTGGATGGCTTGAGCCTAGGAGTTCAAGACTAGCCTGGACAACATGGCAAAACCATGTCTCTACAAAAAATACAAAAATTAGCTGGGCATGGTGGTGTGTGCAAGTAGTCCCAGCTACTCAGGAGGCTAAGGCAGGAGGATCAGTTGGGCCCAGGAGGCAGAGGTTGCAGTGAGCCAGGATTGTGCCACTGCACTCCAGCCTGGACAACAGAGTGGGACCCTGTCTCAAAAGAAAAAAAATGTATGAACATATATGTATAGCTTTCAGTACATGAGCGCAAACCTCTGGAACAACAAAACAACTTGGTATTTTAAATTATGGAACTGCCCTAGCTGAATAACATATAACTATTTTTCATGATTATGAAACTTTTATTATGCAAAAGTAATAAAAGATACTTGGGGAGAAGATAAATCTTATGTACTCTCATTGTCTCAGCATGGTCCTTGAGAAAGGGGTACCCTGAATGATCTGCACAGATTTATCCTGTATCACTTCTGACATTCTTTCAGCTGCACAGGTGCGTATGAGCATTCTGCTCACCTTTATCTATGTCCATTTCACAATGGCCCCCACTGTGCTGCCACTGAAACAATACACAAAATGTTGCCTCGTTTGTATTCCACTAAATTCTCACTGTATGTGTTTTACTGAGGAGGAATAGATGACATTTCTTCATGCTCCCCCTTTATCTTTTTATGTTAACAACAGCAGTTTATAAAGGAAATTTACCTGCTTTGGTCATTCTCTAAGGTCACTGCTACGGTACACGGGGCCTCAGGCAAACATTTTTTCAGACTCCCAATAGGTCCTTGTGAAGTATAATTTATTTTAGAATTATAAGCAGAGAAGTAGTGCTCTGTATGTGTTTACTGTCCATTCAGGGCACAAAGAGATTCCTCCTAGTGTCTATGTACCACCTCTTTCTCTTCAGGTCCGGAAACTGTTTCTTCCTGTTCTTTATTGTCAAATATGCCGGTCCAGACTAACTTCCTATCTCCCACTGTACGGAGAAGACAGCAATGCTAGTAACCCATGATGCCATGGCTCTTCAGGAACTGTTTGTATTGAAACAAGATTTTCTTGCCTCTGTCAGCATCCCTAATACAATTTAGTTAGTGCTGGTAATACCATTTACTCATGAGGCTGCCTCATTTTATCATGACACCCTTAGATATTTGCTTCCAACAACTCTCATGGTTGTTACTGTGCTTCATTGATAACACAAATGCAAATCTTACAGAGTATAAAGGAAAATGTGAATGAATGATTATCTTCTGATCACGCTAAATTCACCATTCAGAATCATATAGCATAAAGACAGAATAACACACTTTCTAACCATGTCTTCTCTTAAACTCGTTAGCTGTAATCACTCTATTCCTATGGTTTTTTTCAACATCTACCACACTCCTGCTTTCCACACACTGTCATCAGTGGGAAAGATAGACAAGGTGAAAGAAGAGCAACTCATTCACATGGGAAATGGCTGTCCCTAATTGGCACCTGGCAAGGCTTAAGGACCCACCTGAGAGGGCACAGTGTCAACACATCAGTTGGTGGCAAGAAATTGGCATTGTGGAGCTCTAGTTTCAGAATTCCTCAGAGATAGATGGATATAGTTTCCCCAAGAAAATGCCTTACATGTAACATGGATCCTGAAGAGGGAGTGATTACCCTGGATGCCAACAGTGGGAGATACAGGGTACCTGCTACCACCCATGCCACCCTAAGGTGCTGTACACCTGAGGCAGCAGTGGTGGGAATAGATAAGAGCTCTGACCTCTGTGTAGAACTCAATGTCCAGGTCAGGGAATGGACCACCACTGGCCCAGAGCATTGAACTTTTCCTGGGTCCCTGGATTAGTCCATTTTGCACTGCTATGAAGAAACACCTGAAACTGGTTAATTTATAAAGAAAAGAGGTTTATTTGGCTCACAGTTCTGCAGGCTGTACAAGAAGCATGGCACCAACATCTGGCTTCTGGTAAGGTTTCAGGAAGCTTTTATTCATGGTGGAAGGCAAGGGGAGCCAGAGTGTCACATGGTGAGAAGGGAAGCAAGAGAGAGAGGAGGAGGTGCCAGGCTCTTTTTATCAATCAGATCTCACGAGGATTAATAGAGTGAGAGGTTACTAATTATGTGAGGAGGGCACCAAGCCATTTATGAGGAATCCACCAAACATCTCCCACTAGGCCCCACCTCCAACACTGGGGGGTCACATTTCAACATGAGATTTTGAAGGGACAAATACCCAAACTGTATCAGTCTCCCCCATGAGTGAGTGAGGTCACTGAGAATCAGTGTGGCAGCAACATTCTAATATCCCAATCTTCTGTAATGCCCTAGTAAGAATAGTCAAAGTCCAGGAGCTTGTAGGATATCTGATCTTCTTAGAAGTTAAGAGAAGAGGGTTGGCAAGCACACTAAGGGGTGAAACAGAGTGAGTGCTGGGGTACCCTGGGACATCACTGCTAGCCAAAGTCAGTCCAGGAGACTCAGCAAGAGTCTCTAAAGGAGGAGGAGACTCAGCAAGACTCTAAGGCCTCTTTCTAACGCAAAACTCTCAATCTACTCTCTTGCCAAACATAAAATGACCCACAGGAAATGTGGAAGATAGAGAACAGAATACAGTTACAGTATAGTAAACACAAATGTTGGTTTTAAAGCAACAGAAACCTTATGTTAATTTCAGGAGAGCGTGAGAGAGCCTGCATTATTTAAATTAGCCAGGTGTACCAGTTAGACTCCTTACAGGACTACCTCTAAGATGCAGGCTCATTCTACAATTCATTTTCCTCAAGAACATCCAAATGTTGACCCAGGGTACATCTGCTCTCTAACATGACTAACAACCTCAATGGCCTTTGGGGAGGTCATATGAGTTTCTAGCTCTAACAAATTCTAGCCCAAACAATTGTAGCAGCTTCACGTACACTTGTACCAGCAGATTGCTTTGGGAAAGGAACATTGGTACTTAAAAACTGTCAAATACTTACATATGCTTTTTCTAATCAAAGGCCTATGATTTATTTGTAGCAAGTTTGCTCCCAAGCAGATATGGATTTATTACCTCCATGTTTTTCATTTCACTTTTTCTGAACTTTAACCAGAGATTCTTTAAGTACAGTAGACATTGACGTGAGCCACCATACCAAATGATGGTTCTTGAGGATTGCGTGATACTAGTTTTTGAAATACCAAAATCCATGACTCTGCAGACTTTTTATGTTAGTGTAATGAAAAAGATTAGGGGCCAACCATTTTGCCAAGGATCATATTTCTTGCCTCCCACACTCCAGTAGTTAGGTTTTGAGAGAATTTAACTTTTTTCTAAGAGGATTTGTGATGTCTCTTTCTAATGCAGAACTCGGAAATCTACTCTCTTGTCAAACATAAAATGATCCACAGGAAATGTGAAAAATAGAGAACAGAATATGGTTACAGTATAATAAACACAAATGTTGGCTTGAAAGCAACAGAAATCTTAAGTCATTCAAATTTTGAGTTGAAAGGAATCTTAGGAGATGCCATATAATTCCCCTCCAATATTCCAGTCACTTCAGCTGCCCGAGGTCACACTTCTAAATGAATACAGACTAGAATTGTTACCCAAAGATCTTTGGTAAGATTCACTCCAAATAAGACTACCCCAGGACATTATAATCAAACTTTCAAAATTTTCAGGCAAAGAGAAAGTCCTATAAGCAGCAAGAGACAAAATCAACAATTTTTTTCATTATTTTATGCTATCTCTTCAAGCATGTATACATGGATTAAGAAGGAAGGGGGAAACAATTATGCCAAGATTTTTTTTAACCAATTAACTAGAAGTATCATGAGTCCAATGACAAAGTGGGAAACAAAAGAAAAATCTGTACATCAACTGGGGAAGTCTTGATATGGACTCGTGGTAGTTTTCATTTTAAGAAGACAATTTTTCCCAAATACAGTTTATTTGAAATGATTCTATTAGCATTTGGAAGAATAAGTCTGATCTTTCAGTCAATTGAACACAATCTCAACCATGCATCTGTAAAGGTAAAATCAAAACAGCAGAGTTAAAACACAGTGTATTCATATCAAGACAAAAATACAGACATTAGCAGTAACCCTTAGGAACTCTGCGGCTCTTAAACTAGTGCATTAGCTTCTTCATTTAGAAGGAAACACAATTTGATTTAAGTAAAGATCAATGTAATATAGTATTATGATCATAACAAAGTCCTCCTGCCCCTGCTATTCAAAGTATCTAGGTAGTGCTGAACTCTGCAGTTCATTAGAGGAGATGATGATCTGATAAGATTCTACTATACCAATGCTATTTATTGCATTCAGTATAATTAGTAATATACTTTATTACTAATATACTTATTTATTAATTACTATTTCTCTTTGGTTAAAGGAGTCTCCATTACATTATATTCCATTTAATGAATAAATTGTTGAAATCTGTTTCTAATGTTGTTTGACACCCACCTGTCCTACCACTCCAACTCTCTTACTAAAAAATAATGGGCGTGAATGTATAAATTAGCTTCTGGGTTCCCTTTAGGCCAATATAGAAAAAATATTGCCTTTTGTATATTTATCATGAATTAAGCAATATTTTATGAATGGCATTCATTGGTATATTTCAGGCAGTTATTGAATTTTAAAGCAGAATAGTAGGACTGAACTAGATTGAAATCCTCGGTCCACCTAACTACTATGTAACCACAGGCAAGTTATACTACAATTCTGAGTCATAAGGGTCTTACCTATAAATTTTAATACAGTATTGCCTACCTTGTAAGTATTTGGTGGGGCTGATTACTAAATGAGATAATGCACGCAAGACACTTAGCAGAGTTCTTTGTACCCTTTGGGCACTCACTAGATGCCATCTATTACTACTGCTGATAAAATTTGTGGCACATAAAAATCTATTATTTTGTTATCACTAATTTTTTTTAAATATGAGAAAAACATTTTTACATAGGATTGAGAAAGCTGAAGAGTGTCACAACCACTTATCCAAAACACATCTGGCTAAATTAGAAAATGGTAATTTTTTTTTTTGAGAAGGAGTCTCTCTCTGTTGCCCAGGCTAGAGTGCAGGGGCGTGATCTCGGCTCACTGCAGGCTCCACCTCCTGGGTTCACGCCATTCTCCTGCCTCAGCCTCCTGAGTAGCTAGGACTAGCAGGCGCCTGCCACCTCGCCCGGCTAATTTTTTGTATTTTTAACAGAGATGCGTTTTCACCATATTAGCCAGGATGGTCTTGATCTCCTGGCCTCATGATCTGCCTGGCTCAGCCTCCCAAAGAGCTGGGATTACAGGTGTGAGCCACTGCACCCGGCCATAAAATTTAAACATCCATCAGAGAACTATAGTTGAAAAATGACAAACTAGACTAAAAACTATGAAAAAATGAGCTCCTCTGGGAAGAGAGGTGGAGTAAGCACTGGCTTATCAGTAGCTGAGCACTGCAGGCTCTGGGTGTCATGCAAGCAGGTAAGAAGAATCAGGTAAAAAGGTTAATAAATTGCTAAAGGCTGAGTGTAAGCTTGTGTGAGAATACAGGACCCCTGGTAGTTAATGAAAAAAAAGACAGTTGCAGGTATTCAGGCCTTTTTTTCCCCCATATATATCCACTGGGTTCACATAGGAAATCTGAGAGACAGTAGAAGCCACTGTGGGAAATGTCTGAAATGCTGTCATTTTTTTTTCCCTGAAACCAAATAAAAAGCATAAGTTAGAGTAGCAAACTCTATATACTCCAGAATATATTACAGGTGAGGAAAGGTTAAGGGGGGAAAACACTACCACTAAGAGAGGGTCCAGAAGTCATCCTATGCCCATGATTGTATTAATACAACAATAACATTACACATGTCCTAACACTGGAGGAAGAATAGGAAATTCTTACCCATACAAGACACAACAAAGACATGGGGCAGAGTTTGACGCCTAAAGAAAACAGGAGAGGGTCACTGAGAAAGTCCCGTCCCTGAGACAAAGGCAAACAAGACCTGCTTATGACTGAAGCTTGAAAAAGAAAACCGAATCCTCTTACTACACTGCCAGAGTAGCCATTATCAAGTAATAAGCAAGAGCAGTCTAACAAGGAAGAGGGACAAAAGCATAGAGACTGAGTCCCTTTGTGTTGCATCTTCATAGGAAATGCTAAAAGCTGAGAGTTGAACAGTAACATTGAGAAAAACCTTCTTCACCCAACCTCCCACCCTAAGCACACAGTAACGTTAGTGGAATTTGAACCTGGTAAGGCACTGAAAAAAAATATAAAAAACAAATTCTAAGCATAACACATGCCTACATGCCTGATAAGACTAACCCAACCTCCAACACTAATGGTCTAGCAGAAAAAAAAAAAGTGAAGCTTTTTATATCACTACTTTCTATGCAGATATCCAAATTCAATTACAAATGAGATAAAGGAAAACAAACTGAAGTAATCTGCAGGAAAAGACAGAGATGACCCAACTGATGGAACTAGGGAGCAAGATGGCCTATTAGAAGCCTCCACCAACCGTCTTCCTGACAGGAACACCAGATTGATCAACGGTCTACACAAAAAAAGTACTTTCACAACAACCGAAAATCAACTGAGTGATCGTAGCTCCTGGTTTTAACTTCATATCACTGAAAGAGGCACTGGAGAGGGTAGGAAAGGCAGTCTTGAATTTTCGTTGCCATCCCTCCCATGTCCCCTGGCAGTGGCCATGTGGTGTGGAGAATCTGTGCTGTTGTCGGGGGAAGAGCACAGTGATTATGAGACTTTGCACTGGAACTCAGTACTGCCCTGAGTTCCACTGAGAAAGCAACACAGGGAAGAACACAGCCAATACCCACAAAGGGGGCATTTCAACTAGCCCTGGCCAGAGGGGAATCGCCCAACCCTGTGGTTGGAACTTGAATTCTGGCAAGCCTCACCACCATGGGCTAAAGTGCTCTATGATCCTCCATAAACTTGAAAGGGTGGCCACAAACTGTAACTCCTACACAAGTTCTAGTGCTGTATTGGGCTCAGAGCCAGTGTACTTGGTGAGGGAAAGGGGGAATATGACCTAGTGAGACATCAGCAGGGGAGGCCAAGGGAGTGCTTGCATCACCCTTCCCCCAATCCCACGCAGGGCAGCTTGCAGCTCTGAAAAGGGCTCATTCCTTTCTACTTGGGAGGGAAGAGTAGAGAGGACCTTGACTTGCAGCTTATGTACCAGCTCAGGCACAGTAGGATATAGCACTGGGCAGAGTCCTGAGGCTCTTATTCCAGGCCCTAGCTCCTAGCCAACATTTACAGACACATCCTGGGCTAGGAGGAACCCTGCTGACTTGAAGGTAAGGACCCAGTTCCAGCAGGATTCAGTACCTGCAGACTAAAGAGCCCTTGGGCCCTAAATAATCAGCAAGTGGTAGGCATGGGTCTTGGGTGACACCCTCAGAGGTCCTGGCTTCAGGTAAGACCCAGCACATTCCCATCTGCAGTAACTATGAGGAGATACTCCTTCTGCTTGAGAAAAGCAGAGGGAAGAGTAAAAGGGACTTTGTCTTACACCTTAGGTACTAGCATAGCCACAGGGGGATAGAGCACCAAGTGGGCTCTTGGGGTCCCTGATTCCAGGCCTTAGCTCTTGGATGTCATTTCTAGACCTGCACTTCCCTGGGATAGAGTGGAACCCACTCCCCTGAAGGGCGAGTCCTAGGCCTAGCATCATTTACCATGAGCTGACTGAAGAGCTCTTGGCTCTTGAGTGAATGTTGGTGGTAGTCTGGCAATATTCCCCATAGGGCTGTGTTGGTGGCAGCCACAGGGAAAGACTCCTCTGCCTATGGAAAGGGGAGGAAAAGGAGGAAAAGCAGTTGTCTTGCAGTTTGGGTTCCATCCCAGCCACAGTAGAATAGAGCACAAGGTAGATTTCCAAGATTTCTGACTCTAGGCCCTGCCTCCCACATGGCATCTCTAGACCTGTCTAGGGCTGGGGGCAGGAATTGCTGCTCTGAAGAAAAGGACACAAGCCTGGATGGCTTCACCACCTGTTGATTGTAGAGTGCTAGGACCATGAGCAAACATAAGTGGTAGCCAGGTAGTGTTTACAGTGGGCCTTGGGAGAGACCCAGTACTGTACTAGCTTCAGGTCAGACCCAGTGCAGTACCACTGGTAGTGGCCACAGGAGTGCCTGTGTCACCCCTCCCCTAGCCTCAGGTAGCCCAGCACAGAGAGAAAGAGACTCTGTTTGTTTAGGAGACACTAAGGGAAGAGAACAAGAGTCTCTTCCTGGTAACCTAGAGAATGCTTTGAGACTTTATTCCAGACTATGAAGGTAGCACCTCTACAAGTATATAAAAACTACACCATTACTGGGTTTAGAGTGCCCCCCAATACAGGTATGGTTGAACAAGAGTCTCTGTCTGGTAATCCAGAGAATTCTTCCAGACTTTATCCAAAACCATAAAGGTAGTACCTCTACAAGTGTACAGAAACCACAGCATTTTTGAATTTGAATTGCCCCCTGATGCAGGTATGGCTGTAGTGATCAAAAACTTAGATAACAAAGTCCCTTTGAATACTTGAAAAGCCTTCTCAAGAAGAACAGGTACAAACAAGCTCAGACTGGGAAGACTACAATAAATACCTAATTCTTCAATGCCCAGACACCAACAAACATTTACAAGCATCAAGACCATTCAGGAAAATATGGCCTCTCCAAATGAACCAAATAAAATACCAGAGAAGAATTCCAGAGAAACGAAAATATGTTACCTTTCACACAAAGAATGTAAAATGGTTGTTTTGAGGAAACTCAAACAAATTCAAGATAAGACAGAAAGAAAAATCTAACAAAAATATTGAAACAGTTTTTAAAAACCAAGCAGAAAATCTAGAGTTGAAAAATGCAATGACATACTAAAGAATGCACCAGAGGAATCCAACTTACAAGAGATGTGAAGGACCTCTTCAAGGAGAACTACAAACCACTGCTCAACAAAATAAAAGAGGACACAAACAAATGGAAGAACATTCCATGCTCATGGATAGGAAGAATCAATATCGTGAAAATGGCCATACTGCCCAAGGTAATTTATAGATTCAATGCTATCCCCATCAAGCTACCAATGACTTTCTTCACAGAATTGGAAAAAACTACTTGAAAGTTCATATGCAACCAAAAAAGGACCTGCATCGCCAAGGCAATCCTAAGCCAAAAGAACAAAGCTGGAGGCATCACGCTACCTGATTTCAAACTATACTACAAGGCTATAGTAAACAAAACAGTATGATACTGGTACCAAAACAGAGATATAAAGCAATGGAACAGAACAGAGCCCTCAGAAATAATACCACACATCTACAACCATCTGATCTTTGATAAACCTGACAAAAACAAGAAATGGGAAAAGGATTCCCTATTTAATAAACGGTGCTGGGAAAACTGGCTAGCCATATGTAGAAAGCTGAAACTAGATCCCTTCCTTACATGTTATACAAAAATTAATTCAAGGTGGATTAAAGACTTAAATGTTAGACCTAAAACCATAAAAACCCTAGACGAAAACCTAGGCAATACCATTCAGGACTTAGGCATGGGCAAGGACTTCATATCTAAAACACCAAAAGCAATGGCAACAAAAGCCAAAATTGACAAATGGGATCTAATGAAACTAAAGAGCTTCTGCACAGCAAAAGAAACTACCATCAGAGTGAACAGGCAACCTACAAAATGGGAGAAAATGTTTGCAATCTATTCATCTGACACAGGGCTAATATCCAGAATCTACAAAGAACTCAAATTTACAAGAAAAAACACAAACAACCCCATCAAAAAGTGGGCAAAGGATATGAACAGACACTTCTCAAAAGAAGACATTTATGCAGCCAACAGATACATGAAAAAATGCTCATCATCACTGGCCATCAGAGAAATGCAAATTAAAACCACAATGAGATACCATCTCACACCAGTTAGAATGGCGATCGTTCAAAAGTCAGGAAACAACAGGTGCTGGAGAGGATGTGGAGAAATAGGAACACTTTTGCACTGTTGGTGGGACTGTAAACTAGTTCAACCATTGTGGAAGTCAGTGTGGTGATTCCTCAGGGATCTAGAACTAGAAATACCATTTGACCCAGCCGTCCCATTACTGGGTATATACCCAAAGGATTATAAATCATGCTGCTATAAAGACACATGCACACATATGTTTATTGCGGCACTATTCACGATAGCAAAGACTTGGAACCAACCCAAATGTCCATCAATGATAGACTAGATTAAAAAATGTGGCACACATACACCATGGAATACTATGCAGCCATAAAAAAGGATGAGTTCATGTCCTTTGTAGGGACGTGGATGAGGCTGGAAACCATCATTCTCAGCAAACTATCGCAAGGACAAAAAACCCAACACCACGTGTTCTCACTCATAGGTGGGAATTGAACAACGAGAACACTAGGACACAGGAAGGGGAACGTCACACACTGGGGCCTGTTTTTGGGTGGGGGGAGGGGGGAGGGATAGCATTAGGAGATATACCTAATGTAAATGACGAGTTAATGGGTGCAGCACACCAACATGGCACATGTATACATATGTAACAAACCTGCACATTGTGCACCTGTACCCTAGAACTTAACGTATAATTTAAAAATTTTAAAAAAAAGAATGCACCAGAGTCTCTTTATAGCAGAATTGTTCAACAAGATGATGGAACTATAGTATAGTATGTTTGAAATAAGTATGATTAATATGCTAAACACTCTAGTGGAAAGAGTATACAAAATGGATAAACAAATGGAAAATTTTATCAAAAAGCTGACACCATAAAAAAGGGTAGAATAGAAATGATGATGATATAGTTACTGAGAAAGCTCCTTCTTAGGCTCATCAGTAGGATTGACAGAGCCAAGGAAAGAATTTGTGAACTTTAAGATAGGTCAGTACAAACTACTCAAACTGAAACACCAATTTTAAAAAGTGTTAATTAAAAAGAAGAAATCATCCAAAGATGTGGGATAATATCGTGTAAAATAACACGTGTAAATGAAATGTCAGGAAGAAAGGAAGGAATTATAGAAGGAAAAAAAATCACAGAGAATTTTTGAAAAGTAATGAATGACATAAAACCACAGCTCCAAAAAGCTCACAGAAGGCGAGAAACAATAGAAGCCTAAAGAAACACACTTAGACATATCATATTAAAACCATTAAAACCAAAGCTACAGAGAAAATCTTGAAGACAGAGGCGAAAATACATGTGAGAAGGAATACAATTTATAATTATGCATATTTGTCAGAAACCATGCAAGCCAGAAGACAAAGGAGAGATTTCCTTAGGGTACTTGAAGAAAACCACAGTTGATTCTTGAACAACACGGATTTAAGTTGCCTGGATCTTCTTATGTGCAGATGATTTTTAACCAAATCCAAATCAAAAATACAGTGTTCATGAGATACAAAATCTACGTATGTGAAGGGCCAAATTTTTGTATACATGCATTCTGCAGGATCAAATGCAAGACTTGAGTATACACAGATTTTGGTACCCGGGAAGTTCTGGAACCAATCCCATGTGTATATTGAGGTACAACTGTATACGCAAAGAATTCTATAACTGGTGAAAATATCTTTCAGAAATGACTACAAAAAATTGTTTTAGAAAATTAAAGAAAGGGCCGGGCGCGGTGGCTCACGCCTGTAATCCCAGCACTTTGGGAGGCCGAGGCGGGTGGATCGTGAGGTCAGGAGATTGAGACCATCCTGGCTAACAAGGTGAAAACCCGTCTCTACTAAAAATACAAAAAATTAGCCGGGCGCGGTGGCGGGCGCCTGTAGTCCCAGCTACTCGGGAGGCTGAGGCAGGAGAATGGCGTGAACCCGGGAAGCGGAGCTTGCAGTGAGCCGAGATTGCGCCACTGCAGTCCGCAGTCCGGCCTGGGCGACAGAGCGAGACTCCGTCTCAAAAAAAAAAAAAAAAGAAAAAAGAAAATTAAAGAAAGGAGATTTTCAACCTCTGAGATTTATGTTTTGAAATTTATGCTTTAAGATATTAGTGAAAATTTGTCATCCAGAAGGAAAATTAAATGGGGCAGAAGTTTGGATCTATAAAAAATAAAACAATGTTTAAAATAAAAGTTCAACAATGTTTAAAATAAAAGTAATATTAAAATATATTATGTTTTCATTTTTAAGTGTTTTAAAATATAATTAGATAATCTCTGCATCTCCACATTCCTGGAACCCTGCTGTCATCTCCCAATATCCATTCAGAGGGTTGCAGCACTGCGACATCAGCTGGACCCAGCAGTGCAGCCACATCTCTAGCATCCAAACCCTACAATGTCCTATAGCCTGGGGAATAGTACATCAAATGCATCAGAGAGGCTGCCCCCAGCACACAAAAAGCCAAAGTGTGCTCTTCCCAGAGCATGAGAGCTGCCTAACTGGCTCCACCACCACCAAAAGTGACCCCACCCCCTCTAACAGAAGGGCCATGGCACATTCATACACACCATCAGGGACCAAAAACCTGGCCCACCTGGGCTGCTTCTACCACCACAGATACCCATGTGCTACCCAGGGTCCTGAGGACCGTCCTTCCAGGCCTACTGCTGCCAGTGCTCATGTGCACTGCTTGGGGGCCCCAGCATTGGCCCACCCAAGGCCACCACAACAACTGATGCCTGCATGTGGTGCCCAGGGGCTGAAGGACATGCCCATCTGGCCAGCAACCACTAACAACAATGCCCACACATCCCACCTAGAGGTACAAGGACCAACCCACCAAGGCTCACTGCTGTCACAGCCTGTGCCCATGTATGCCACCCAGGGGCTTGAGGACTGACCCACCTGGCACCCCAGTTCTCACCAAAGCCTCACTATAGTGTCCATAAACAATCACCACCTAAGCCACTGAGGAACTCACAGATTTTGCTGACATTGATTACAGCCCAAGAAGCTGACTACATTATACAGAAACTACACTATAGTGCCTATCTAGAACTAAAGTACCCTACCCAACCAACGTTATAGATACACCTACAGAAAAAGTCCCAATGTAAGCTATTTCATAAAATTGGAAAAAGCAACTGTTATACCAGATGTGCATATATTAATGTAAGGACACAAGAAACATAAAAAGCAAGAAAACATGACACTTCCAAAGGAAAACAATAATTCTCCAATAACAGATCCCAAAGCAAAGAAAATCTATGAAATGCCTGAAAAGGAATTCAAAATAATGACCTTAGGGAGACTCAGCAATATACAAGAGAGCACGGATAGACAGTGTTCTGTAAAAAATATCAGGAAAACAATTCATGATTTGAATGAGAAATTCAACAAAGAGATGAAAATTATAAGGGAAAAAAACCTGAACAAATAGGCTGAAACTGAACAATTCCAAAGAATGAAATATACAATTGAGAGTTTCAACAATCTATTAGATCAAGCAAAAGAAAAATTCTGAATTTCAAAAAATAGTTTTTTTTAAATCACTCAGTCAGAAAAAAAAGTAAAAAAGAATGAAGAAAGCCTAAAAGACATATGGGGCACCATCAAACAAACCGATATTTGAATTTTGGGAGTCCCAGAAGGATAAGAGATAGGAAAAGTCATAGAAAACCTATTTAATGAAATTACTGCGGGAAACCTTCCAAGTTTTGGAAGAGATATCGACATTCAGATGCAGAAAGCTCAAACATTGCCACATAGATTCAACTCAAAAAGGTCTTATCCAAGGAACTTATAGTTAGACTGTCAATAGTTAAAGACAAAGAGAGAATTCTAAAAACAGCAAGAGAAAAGTATCAAGTCACATATTAAGAAAATTCCATTATACTAACATCAGATTTCTCAGCAGAAACTTTACAGGCCAGAAAAGAGTGAGATGATATATTCAAAATGTTAAAAGAAAAAAAATGCTATCCAAGAATACTACACCTAGCAAAGATATCCTTCAGAAATGAAGAAGAAATAAAGTCTTTCCCAGACAAGCAAAAACTGAGGACATTCATCACCATTAGACCAATTCTACAGAAATGCTTAAGGGGGTCCTACTTCTGGATGCTAAAGAACAATATCTATTGTCATAAAAACACAGGGAAGTATAAAACTCACTGATAGAGCATATACACAAATGAGAAAGAGAAAGAAATCAAACATTATGACTGCAGAAAATCACCAAATTGCATAGATAAATAATAAGAAAAGAAAACGAACAAAGGATACACAAAACAATCAGAAACTAATTAGCACGTATGACCACTTTATTAACAGCAATGCCAAAAAGAAGAGTATAACTAAACTGAGAGTACATTTTTGTAGGTTTTTCCATTAAATATAAAGATGTGTAATCTTATTTAAAGGCAAACTGTAATACGAAAGATTTGTATTGTAAGCCATATAATTGCTAAACTTATTTTTCAAGAGGTATAAATAATGAAAAGCCAGTAGAAAAGATAAGTGGAATAATCATAACATACAACTTATTTAAAATCAGGCAGATAAAAAAGAAAGTAATAAAGAAAAGATGAAAGAAAGAACAACTAGTAACATAGTGTAATTCAACAATATTAGCAATTTGATGGAATATAAGTTTTCTAAACTGGAAAAAGACAGATTGTCACATTGTATTAAAAAAGCAATATCCATTATATTCTCTCCATATAAATAGGTTAAAAGTGCAGAAATGGAAAAGTATGTTATTCCAACACTATAAAAATGAAAGCTGGAGTGGCCATGACACATACTAAATTGAAGAAAAAAATATAAATATATAATATGGAACATACCCTATATAAATGTGTACATATATTTAAACATATATATTCACAAAAGAACTAAATAAATGAAGCATAGACGATTAAAGGATAGACAAATCCATAATTATACATGTAAAACTTTTGTCTTAGTAACTGATAATATAAATAAAATTATTAAAGTAGAAAAGACGTAGGAAAATTATCACCCAAATAGACCTAATGAACATTAATAGAAAGCTGGATACAACAAGGAAAGAATACATATTCCATAGTAAAGTTAAACAAGACACCTATAATAGAAAAGTACCTAAAAAATCCTGAAATACTTGGAAACTAACGCATTTATAGAAAACTCATGGTTCAAAGCAGAAGACTCAAGGACATTTTAAAAAATATTTTGATATGAACGAAAATAAATATAAAACATATGAAATTTTTTTCAATGCTTTTTCATCTTCTAAAAAATTTTCTACTTTTATTTTAGATTCAAGAGGTACATGTACAAGTTTGTTACATGGGTACATTGCATAACACGTGAGGTTTGGTGTACAAAAAATCCTGTCACCCAGGTAGTGAGCATAGCACCCAAGAGGTAGTTTTTCAGCCCATACCCACCCTTCCTCTCTCTCCTCTAATAGTCCCCAGTGTCTACTCTTCCTACCTTTATTTCCACATGTATCCAATGTTAAGCTCCCACTTATAATTGAGAACATTTGTATTTGGTAATGGAGAATATAGTATTTGGTTTTCTGTTCTTGCAGTAATTTGCTTAGGATAATGGCCTGCATCCATCTTGCTGCAGAGGATATGATTTCATTTTTTGTGGCTATGTAGTATGCCACAGTATAAAGGTACCACATTTTGTTTATCCGATGCACCATTGATGGACAAGTCTGACTGATTCCATGTCTTTGCTCTTGTGAATAGTGCTGCAATAAACATATAAGTGCATGTGTCTTTTTGATAGAACAATGTATTTTCCTTTGGGTAATGGGATTGATGGGTTGAATAGTAGTTCTAAGTTCTTTAAAAAATATATCCAAAGTGTTGCTGGGTGTGGTGGCTCATACCTGTAATCCCAGCACTTTGGGAGACCAAGGCGGGTGGGTCACCTGAGGTCAGGAGTTTGAGACCAGCCTGGCCAACATGGTGAAACACCATCTCCACTAAAAATACGAAAATTAGCCAGGCGTAGTGGTGCATGCCTGTAATCTCAGTTACTTGAGAGGCTGAGGCAGGAGAATCGCTTGAACCCAGGAGACAGAGGTAGTAGTGAGCTGAGATTGTGCCACTGCACTCTAGCCTGAGTGACAAGAGCAAAACTCCATTACAAAAACAAACAAACAAACAAACAAACAAAAAACCTTCAAACTGCTTCCCATAGTGGCTAAGCTAATTTACCTTCCCATCAATAGTTATAGGTGTTCCCTTTTCTCTGCAACCTTCCCAACATGTTATTTTTTGGCTTTTTAATAAGAGACATTCTGAGTGGTGTAAGGTGGAATTTCACTGTGGTTTTGATTTTCATTTCTCTGAACGATTAGTGATGTTGAGTATTGTTTCATATGTTTGCTGGCCACTTGTATGTCTTCTTTTGAAAGTGTCTGTTTATGTCCTCTGCCCACTTTTTACTGAGTTTATTTACAACATGTCAACATTTTTGTGGTGCATCTGAGACAATGCTTAGAGGAAAATTCATACCATCAAATATATATATTCAAAAAGAAAGAAAATCTAAAATCAGTAACCTAAGCTTATACTTCAAGAAATGAGAAAAATAAGAAAAAATTAAACCCAAAGCAAGTAGAAGAAAGGAAATAATGAAAAGTGGAAAAGATGTCAATAAAGTAAAAACTGGAAAACCAATACAGAAAACCAATGAAACTAAAGCTGGTTCTTTGAAAACTTCAATAAAATTGATAAACCTCTAGCCAGGCTAACCAAGAAAAAATTATCTGTATCAGGAATAAAAGAGGAGACATTATGATTGAGCCCATAGAAATTAAAAGGATAATAAGAGAATATTTCAAATAATTATATCCAATAATTTAGATCAATAAATTGAATGCAGTTATTAAATAACTGTATTCAATAATTTAGATAACATAAACCATTACTATTCTATCATAATTCACTGGAGAATAAATAACCTATATGATCATAGAGAAATCAAATTTGTAGTTATATTATCTTCCAAAGAAGAAAACTACAGGCACAGTTGGTTTCATTGATAAAATCTGTAAAACATATAAGCAAGAAATATCTAAAATTCTATTAACCTATTCTAGAAAATAGAAGAAGAGATAACACTCTCTAACTCATTTTACTAGGCCAGTATTCCTCCAACATGAAAATCAAATACATTACAAGAACATAAAGCTATCAACGAATATCTCTCATGATCACACATATGACAATGCTCAACAAAATATTAGCAAATCAAATATAACAATATATAAAAAGGATGGTTCATCATGATCAATTGAGGTTCCTCTCAGGAATACAAGTTTGGACCATTTTTCCAAATTCAACCAAAGTTATACACTAAATTAACACACTACATAAGAAAAACCAAATAATTGCATTGGTGGATGCAGCAAACCCATTTTCCAAAATTCAATTTTTTTTTATCAAATCTCTTGGCAAATTAGAAATACAAAAATAAATTTTTAGCCTAACAAAGAATAACAGTGAAAAGCATAAAGAAAGGATTATACTGAATGTTTACCCTCTAAGATTAGGAAAAGACAAGTATGTTTGTTGTCACCAATTCTCTCCAAAACCGTATTAGAAGTTCTACCTCAAGTAACAAGACAAAAATAAACAAACAGAAGGCACACAGATTAGAAAGAAAAAAATTAGAGTATTTACAGACAATGTTATTTTCTACTCAGAAAATCTGAAAGAATCTATAAGAAAACTTCTAGAGCTAGTAAGTGAGTTTGGCAAGCAAACAGGAAACAAGGTTTTCTATTTTCATGCTGCTATAAAAAGACTATAAAATAGTCTATTTTTACACTGCTATAAAGAAATATCTGAGAATGGGTAGTTTATAATGGAAAGAGTTTTAATTGACTCAGTTCTATATGGCTAGGGAGGCCTCAGGAAATTTATAATCATGGCAGAAGATAAAGGGGAAGCAAGGCATGTCTTCTCATGGGGCAGGAGAGACAGCACAGGGGAAAATGCCACATTTAAGCCATCACATCTCATGAGCTCTCACTATCATGAAAACAGCATGGGGGAAACTGCTCCCATGATCCAATCACCTTCCACCAGGTCCCTCCTTCGACATATGGGGATTACCATTCAAGATGAGATTTGGGTGGGGACACAGAGCCAAACCATATTATTCTTCCCCTGGCCCCTCCCAAATCTCATGTCCTTTTCACATTCCAAAACCAATCATGCCTTCCCAACAGTCCCCCACAAAGTCTTAACTCATTCCAGCAATAAGCCAAAAATCCAAGTCCAGAGTCTCATCTGAGACAAAGCAAATAGTCACTTGTCGCTTCCACCTATGAGCCTATAAAATAAAAAAACAAGGTAGTCACTGCCAAGATACAATGGGAGTACAGGTATTGGGTAAATGCTCCTGTTCCAAATGGGAGAAATTGACCAAAACAAAGGGGACACAGGCCCCATGCAAGTCCAAAACCCAGCAAGGCACTCATTAAATCTGAAGCTATAAAACGATCTCCTTTTACTTCATATCTCACATGAAGAGTATGCTGATGCAAGGGGTAAGCTCCCAAGGCCTTGCACAGCTCCACCCTTGTGGCACTGCAGGGTACAGCCATGGCAGCTGCTTTCACAGGCTGGCATTGCCTGTGACTTTTCCAGGCACATGGTGCAAGCTGTTGATGGATCTACCATTCTGCGGTCTGGGGGATGATGGTCCTCTTCTCACAGCTCCACTAGGCAGTGCCCTAGTGAGGACTCTGTGTGGGGGCTCCAACCCCACATTGTACTATTAGAGGTTTTCTCTGAGGGCTCCACCCCTGCAGCAGACTTCTGCCTGGGCATCCAGGCATTTCCATATATCCTCTGAAATCCAGGCAGAGGCTCCCAAAGCTCAATTCTTGTCTTTTGTGCACACGAAGGCCCAACACCACGTGGAAACTGCCAATCTTGGGGCTTGCACCCTCTGAAGCAACAGCCTTAACTACATTGGCCCCTTTTAGCCATGGCTGGAGCTGGAGTGCCTGGGATGCAAGGCACCAAGTTCTGAGGCTGCAGAGAGCAGCTGGGCCCTGGCCCTAGCCCATGGAACCATTTTTCTCTCCTAGGCCTCCAAGCCTATGATGGAACGGGCTGCCTTGAAGATCTCTGAAATTCCCTGGAAACATTGTCCCCATTGTCTTGGTGATTAACATTCAGCTCCTCCTTACTTATGCAAATTTCTTCAGCAGGCTTGAATTCCATGCCAGGAAATGGATTTTTCTTTTCCAGCACATGGCCAGGCTGCAAATTTTCCAAACTTTTACACTCTTCTTCCCCTTTAAACATAAGTTCCCATTTCAAATAATCTCTCTGTGAGCACATATAACTGTATACTTTCAGGAAAAGCCAGGTCACTTCTTGAAGGCTTTGCTGCTTAGAAATTTCTTCTGCCAGGTATCCCAAATCATCTATCTCAAGTTCAAAGTTCCACAGATCTCTAGGGCAGGGGCAAAATGCTGCCCGTCTCTTTGCTGAAACATAGCATCAGAGACCTTTACTGCAGTTCCCAGTAAGTTCCTCATCTCCATCTGAGACCACCTTAGACCAGACTTCATTGTCCATATCATTATCAGCATGTTGGTCAAAACCATTCAACAAGTCTCTGGGAAGTCCCAGATTTTCCCACATCTTCCTGTCTTCTTCTGAGCCCTCCAAACTGTTCCAATCTCTGACTGGTACCCAGTTCCAAAGTCACTTCCACATTTGCAGATTATCTTCATAGCAGTACCCCACTCTACTGGTACCAATTCTCTGTTTTCAAAGTGCTATAAAGAAATACCTGAGACTGGGTAATTTATAAAGGAAAGAGGTTTAATTGACTCAGAGTTCTGCATGGCTGGGGAGGCCTCAGGAAACTTACAATCAAGGTAGAAGATGAAGGTGGAGCAAGACACATCTTCTCACGGTGGCAACAGAGAGAGAGAGCATGCAGGGGAAACTGTCACATTTAAACCAACAGATCTCATGAGATCTCCCTCACTACCACAAGAACAGCATGGGGGAAACTGCACCCATGATCCACTCACCTCCCAGGGATTACAATTCGAGATGAGATTTGGGTGGGAACAGAGAACCAAACCATATCAAAGGCTGATATACAAAAGCCCATCACATCCCTCTATAGTTGCAATGAAACACTCGAATGAACTTTAAATATAAAAAACACAAAATGGATATAAGTTAATGTTCAGCAATAAAAGCACCAAATAAAACAAAGTACTTAGGTATAAATCTAATAAAACATGTCAATAATTATGTTGAATATTACAAAACACTGATTAAAGAAATGTCTTTCAAAGAAATGGAGATATATGCCATATTCTTGGTTTAGACGGCTCAATAGTATTAATGTGACCTCTCTCCAATTTAAGAAAATATTTATTGCAATACTGATTAAAATTCCTCCAAGCTTATTTGTAGGTATCAACAGGCTAATTCTAAAATCTATTTGAAAAAGCAAATGAACTAGAATAGCCAATTCAATTCTGAAATAAAGATAAGAACAACATGAGAGGACTCACCATCTCCAATTTCAAAACTTAATACAAAGAGCTTGCAATAGTCAAGAGAGAGTGTTGTTGGTGAAAAGTTAGAAAAATACACCAATGGAAAAGAATAGAGAGCCTGGAAATAGAGTCACACAAGTATCATCAACATATTGACAGCTGACAAAGGTGCAAAGGCAATTCAATTAAGGATAGCCTTAACTGAAAAGATTAAAGATCATTTTTTCAAACTGTGTTCCAACAATTAGACATAATATACAAAATACAAAACCTCAGTATATACCTCACACAAATTGCCTCAAAATATATCATACCTAAAAGTAATTTTTTTTTTTTTTAGACAAAGTCTCGCTCTTGTCCTCCAGGCTGGAGTGCAATGACCCAATCTCAGCTCACTGCCATCTCTCTCTCCCAGGATCAAGCAATTCTCTTGCCTCAGCCTCCCGAGTAGCTGGGATTACAGGCGCCTATCACCACGCCTGGCTAATTTTTGTATTTTTAGTAGAGACGAGGTTTTGCCATGTTGGCCCAGCTGGTCTCGAACACCCGACCTCAGGTGATCTGCCTGCCTCGGCCTCCCAAAGTGCTGGGATTACAGGCATGAGCCACCGCGCCTGGCCTAAAAGTAAAATTTTAAATTCTAAAACTTCTAGATAAAAACATAGGAGAAAACCTGTGACTTTGTGTTTAGTGATGAGTTTTTAGATACAGCAACAAAAGCATAATTCACATTTTTAAAAATCAAATGATTGGACTTTATTAAACCTAAAAAAAAATTGCTCTGTGAGAAATGACTTTAAGAGAATGAAAAGAATCCACTGACAGGGAGGTAATACTTAGAAATCACAAAGAACTTGTACCCAAAATATATTTTTTTAAAAACGCTAAAAACTCAAAGATAAGAAAACAAACAAGCCAATAAAATTATGAGCAAAATATATGATTGCATACTTCAGCAAAGAAGATTGGATGAATTGCTACTAAGCTCAATATCTTTAGCAATAGGAAAATGCTAATTGAAACCACAATGAGATACCACTACACACCTATTAGAATAGCTAAAACTGAGAATACTGATCATACAAGTTTGACAAGGATGTGGAGGAACTAGAATTCTTATACACTGCTGGTTCAGACGTAAAATGATACTTTCAATTTGGAAAATAATTTGGCTGTTTCTTATAAAGTTAAACAGCCACCTGCCATATCAAATAGCCATTCCACTCCTAAGAATTTGCCTAATAGAAGTGAAAACATAGTTATATTTTATCACTTGTATATGCATATTCAGAGAAGCTTTATTTGTAACAGTCAGAAACTGGAAACAAATATCCATCAATAGGGAGCTACTCACAGGTAATTTGTAGCACATCCACACAAGGAATTTTATGTAGCAATGAAAAGAAAATATCAATACACACGTGTAATTCTCAAAGTAATTATGTTGAATTTTTAAAAGCCAGTCACCCACATTGATTTTATTTATATAAAATTCTAAAAAACACAAACTAATCTGTCAGAGAGTAGGTTAGCAGGTATTTAAAGATGAGGGACAGAGAAGGAAGGGCAGGATTACTAAGGGGCAGGAAGAAGTATTTTCTCATGCTATATGTGTTTCGAATCTTCTGTGCGATGACAGTTGCAAGGGTGTACATATATATATATATATATACATATATATATATATATATATATATATATATATACACATATATATATGTATATATATATATATACATATATATATGTATATATATATATATATATACATATATATATGTATATATATATGCCTAAACTTACCAAATTGTGCAATTTTTATGTGTGCAGTTTTTTGTATGTCAATTATGCCTCAATAAAGCTATTTACAAAGAAATTGCAATAATTCCAAATTTATACAGGTTTATTCACCAAGATAAAAAGTAAATTAAAAGTTACACTTTTCCACCCAATAAATCAATGAGACTTGGCTGTTCATAGACCTTTGAAATGCAGGCTCAAATTCCTCATTGGCACCATTTTTCAAACCTTCGATTTTTTTTTCTTTGTGATATTTTTTCTCCTTAACATTGAAGTCCAGGCCAAAAGCAGCCATCTCTTGCCATCAGTCAGGCTTTGTCTTTAATATTTAATTAAGGATGAAAAGAAAGAATCATTTGACTCTTCACTCCCATCAATTATTTTTGAATCAAACTGTGTGATAGCTAAAGTGCTTCAGAAGAGGAGGCTGTTAGTTAAATAGCATAAATATTGAATTCTTCACACCTATTTTCTGCAATCATTGCCTGTACATGATTCACAGCCTACACAGTAGGGAACGCTCAAGGAAAAAGATTGTGCCATGCAACACAGAGGCAGCAGATAGCATCAGGAAAGGCATTTTGCACCCCCTTTGGCATAAATGCCCTTACTGTGCCATTTGAACCTAATAATCACTAACATTTATTGAATACTTACTATACATGCTAGACACACTGGACTAAGCATTTTATTTCTATACTCCTGTATAATCCCCACTTCTATTCTTTGAACTATTCTTAAATTAGCATCATAATCTTTATTTATTAAAAGGCTAAAATTCAGAGGGCTTAATATTCTTGACTAAGATGACAGAGCTTGTAAATGAGGGAGTCACATTTCAAATTCACACCTGCTTGAGTCTAAAATGGGTAGGCTGAAGCAGTGGGCAAATACTGCCTCCCCATTTAGGACCTACTCTATTCTTTGAAAGTTCCCTTCCCTAAATTTTAGTCCTAGGAGAGAATAGAAGAAAAACCGGAAGAGAGAAAGCACACCTTGGTAAGCTGAATATAAACTTTGTGAGTAAAGCATTCACATCTGTCCTTTACAAACCTTTATCTTCAGCATGTATTTCTGTGCCTGGCCCATATTAGGCATTTAATATTTGCTGAATTGGATTTCTGAGTTGGGGTGTTTTTTTTAATCCTCTTAGCCTTTTTCAACTAACAGTTCTTCCTTCAAAGCTATTAATACGCAATACTCTTTTTGGGAAAGGGAGACACAGGCATATGCTCATTGTGTTGATCAGAAATACATATGCAATATACATTACAGCAGATGGCCAGCTGTCAGTGGTACAGATACTCATGAGCATGTCTACCTTTGGGAAAAGTGGTACGGTAAGTCCTTAATGTAGTTGACAGGTTCTTGGAAACTGTGACTTTAAGCTAAATGACATATAACAAAACCAATTTTACCATAGGCTATTTATAAACAAGAGTTAAGTTCCTAAGGCACATTTCTGGTCACAAAAAACATCACCAAACTTCTAAATAAAGACCCCAAACACTTCTGCCATTAAACATTGGAATAAACATGAGCTAGCCATACATTTTAAGAAAGATTAATAAAAAACAAATAAGATAATGATTTCCCCACTTATTGCAGTTCAGGGTCAAGGGTGGCCAGAGCCTATCCTAGCAGCTGAGGGCACAGGTGGGAACCAGCCCCGGACAGGATGCCATCTCATTGCAGGGCACACTCACACCCACCCACACTCATCCAGACTGGGACCATTTGGACACAACAATCAGCCTAATGTGCACGTCTTTGGGATGTGAGAGGAAACTGGAGTAGCGGGAGAAAACCCACACAGACTGGGAAGAACATGCAAACTCCACATAGACAGTGGCCCTGGCCAAGAAACAATTTTTTTCCTCAGGTTATTTGAGGACCTGCTGTACTTGGGGACCATGGCTGTACCCACGACAGAGACAGTAAAGTGGTCCTGCTGAAATGACAGTTCAATCAAGCAGATTAGTGGGAATCTGTCACAGTGATTAATTTGCCCGCACAGTAAGTTCAATTAGAAAGCTGCTGCTGTACCCGCGTGTAAACCCAGTGCAGACCCTTTGCTACCATGGTCATCACTCACCCTTAGTGCTCCTGCCCCAGCTGCCTCCGAGTCACTGTACAGTACTAGCCCTTCACACACAAATGGGGGAGAAACCACCTTAGCCTGCAATTAAGCTGGCATTGTGAGTGCTCAATGATTTTCAACGAGATGTTGGATCAGTTCATATGCTCCCAAACACCTGAGGTTTGCAGGATGGCTCTTCACAGGGAAAACTATGCCCAAAAAAGGATCCTGTGGGTTAATTTCTGCCTCTGGTAGAAAGACTTCCAATTGATGTAGGTTGTTAGTGAGCTGGTTTGTGCAAGAAAATCCCAGGATGCGGTAATCACAGTTGACTTACAGACTACAGTTTTGACACGCTTTGAGAAAAAAGCCTGATACATAGATACTTCATTGCTGTGCTGGCAATGGCCATAAGCTGTAGGCCAAGTAACTCACATTACTGAACTAATTGCACTTGAAGATTAAATTCATGGTACTCATTAATCAATGAGTACCATTGGGTGCTTTCTATCTGATGAGCACTGTGAAGGGTTCTGCAGTAAATTAGGGAAAGAAAAAAGTCAGTGTTGCAGTGAAAAGAAAATTACTTTAAAATGAGACTAGGATTTGAATCCTGAATCCATAGCTTATTAGCTATGTGACACTGGGCAAGGCAGCTCTGAGTCTCAGTTCTCTTTTCTGCACAATAGGGATACAAATGACAACTTTATAGATTGTTTAAAAATTACATTCAAAAATGAACAAAAGTTTGTTATTTAGGAAGTTCTTAATAAATGTGTGGTTGAGTTTTTTAGACCACATAAAGTGTATATAAAAGCTATAGACTTATCCTCAAAAAATTGTTTATCTGGAGACACAGTATTATTTTGAGATTATAAGAAGCATGAAATTAAGTGATAAGTAGTTTTATATTTCATCTAATATGTATAAATTATCATTTTAAAATGTTTGCCTTAGTTTTGTTTTTTAATCAGTGCTTATTTTCTCTGAAAGTTCTAGCCAGTTTATAAAGCATAGAACACATTTATAATCCCAAAACTTTATTTCAAAATAATTTTTTAGGCTCTAACCACCCCACCCCCACCCCCAAAATAACTTTTTGATTAAGCTATCATTATACAACACATCTTTTGGCTGAAGTACTCAGATCTACCAATTAGCCCTTTAGAAATATTTCTTTTGAGTTTCCTACACTTTTGAATATTCATATAATTTTTCTTTTAGCAAACTATCTTAGATCAGTATTTATTTATTTTTATTTAATTTTAATTTTTTTTTTTTTTGACATGGAGTCTCACTCTGTCACCAGGCTGGAGTGCACGGGCACGATCTCGGCTCACTGCAACCTCCGCCTCCCGGGTCAAGCAATTCTCCTGCCTTGGCCTCATGAGTAGCTGAGACCATCTGGGACTGCAGGTGCACACCACCACGCCCAGCTAATTTTTGTATTTTTAGTAGAGACAGGGTTTCACCATGTTGGCCAGGATGGTCTCTATCTCTTCACCTTGTGATCTGCCTGCCTCGGCCTCCCAAAGTGCTGGGATTACAGGCATGAGCCACTGAGCCCGGCCTAGATCACTATTTATATGGTAATAAACCTGTCATATCTTCAAGTCCTAGCTTTTCAAGGCAAATAATCTTTTACATTATTTGTTTCATGATTAAAATTCTATATAACAGTTAGTACATAGGCAAATAATAATCCATGTACTCTTTGGGGACTCTTTCTTAATCTTATTTTGCAATAGCCGCAGATTCACAGGAAGTTGCAAAAAATGTATAGAGAAGTCACTCGTACCCTTCCCGCAATTTGTTGGACATGCTTAACTCAATTTTCTTATCTACAGTGTAATATCAAAAACCAGGAAATTGGCACTGAAAGAATCCACCAATCCTTTAGATCAAGAGTTTTACATGCACTCATTTTCCTGTATGTATGTGTAGCTGTATATAATTCTGTCACATGTAACTTCATGTTAACACTACCACAATAATGATGCAGAATTGTTCCATCACAAGGCTTCCTTTTGTTATCCTTTCATGTCCACACCAACCTTTAACCCTCTTTCCTAACTCCTGGTAAACACTAACAATTTCTCTGTTTCCATAATTCTATAATTTCAATAAGGGTATGCAAATGGAATCAGAGTATATAACTTTCTGAGATTAGCTTTGTTTTTCTTCATCATAATCTCCGAGAGATTTATTTAGGCTGTTGGGTATAACAATAATTTATTCCTTGTCACCCCTTCATAATATTCCATGCTTAAACTCCCTTAGTTAAGCATTTTCCAGTTAAAGAACCTTGCAGTTGTTTCTAGTTTGGGCCATTGTGAATAAAACTGCTATGAACATTCAAATACAGGTTTTTGTATGAACACAAGTTATCATTTCTCTTAGATAAAAGCCCAACAGTACAACTACTGAGTCAAATTATAAATTTATGATAGTTTTATAAGAATCTATCAAACTATTTTCCAGAATGACTGTACCATTTTGCATCCCCATCGGTAATGTATGAGTGGATCTGGTTTCTCTAAATTATTGCCAGCATTTGGTGTCATCACTATTTTTCATTTTACCATTCTAACAGGTATGTAGTGGTAGCTCATTATGGTTTGAATTTGTATTTCCCTAAAGGATAGTGTTGAATACTTTTTCATGTGTTTATGTGTAATCTGCATGCCCTCTTTGGTGAAATTTTTGTTCATGTCTCTACTCATTTTGTAATTAATTTTAACTGTTCAGTTTTGAGATTTCTTTATATATTCTAAATACAAAGTCGCTGCTGAATATATGAATTAAAAGTATTTTATTTAAGTCTATTTTCCCTTTTTCTTCTTCACAGCTTTTTTCACAGAAGAAAAGAGTTACTTCTGATGAGGTCTAGTTTCTTGATTTTTCCTTAATGGATTCTGCTTTTGGTGTCACAATTAAAAACTCTTTGGCTAGCCTTCAGAACTGAAGAATTTCTCCCATTTTTTTCTATAAAATTTTTGGGTTTTTGTTTTACATGTAAGCCCATGATCCATTTTCAGTTAATTTTTGCATAAGATACGACATTTGGGATGGGATTTGTTTTGTTTTGCCTATAGATACCCAATTTTCCCAGCATCATCTATTGAAAAATTTATTCTTCCTCCATTGAACTGCTTTTATGCAATTGTAAAAAAAAATCCATTGGGCATAATTGTGTGGGTCTGTTTGGGGTTCTCTGTTTTGTTCAATTCATCTGTGTGTTTATCCAGCTTTCAATACCATAATTTCTTGATTAATGTAGCTATAATAAAGCTTATCATTGGATAGAGTGATTCCACCTACTTTATTCTTTTTCAATACTGTTTTAGTTACTGTCTTTTGTCTTTTCATTTAATTTTTAGAATTAGCTTGTATTATGTCTGAAAACTCCTTACTGGGTAGGAATTACATAAATCTATAGATCATCTTAGGGAGAAGACACGTCTTTCCTACGTTGAGTGTTCCAGTGAATTTGGGAAACTTAGCACTACTCTCCAATAGACATTGCAGAGTTCAGTTTCAGTGCAGAGATATGGACAGCTGGAAAGAGCATTACTCCCATACTAACAACAAACAAAAACCTGGACTAACTGCTCCTTAACAAATCATTTTGATTACACTACAGAACTGATGTAACAGAGCAAACAACTAACCAAAGATCCAAAGAGATAGTCAGCTACAGAATAAATAGGACCTCAGCACTTATTTCACCTGGGGCAGATATACATAAACACCATATAAGGCAGAGAGAATAATTCCAATAGAATCTTAAATGATTTACTAAAAGTGGATTGTGGGTTGGAGTGAGAGTATAAAGCTGCTGGGAACTACCAACGGAGAGGTATTAGCACTTACAGACTTATCCCTCCACGAACTCCAGCACACATTCAAATGAAAATTATGGGAGGATTCTTACAAAAAATTCCCTCCCAGCGTTGGCTGGGGAAGAACAGTAACACTGCTGAAACACTTGCAGACCAGCTTCTCCTATCTCCAATATGGAACAAAAGTCTAAATCTACGGGGGAGAAGCAAAGAAAAAAATATTTTATTAGGGCACTGGTAGAAGCCCACTGAAGCTGAGAAAAAGAAAAAAATGAAGCTCAACCACTGGGGAAGGGACAGGTACAGGGCTAGATCTGGAAGAAGATCAGGAACACTTGGGAAGACAAAACTTCTGAAACTCAGGGACACTATAATTGCAGAAGACAGGGCTTAATCAGAACAGAGAACCACCCATCCACTCTTTACCAGCAGGCTAAGAAAGTGTAAAGTAAAAATGACAGTGGGATACAGATGGGAGAAGACCAAGAGAAAAATTCTGTCTGGAAAATAGCCCAAAGTAAAGACCCAAAGGATGAGTAGAAATTAGAAAAATAATCTCTTACAAACCAGCCTAACACCTAAACACAAAATATCACTTGAAAAAAATTTAAGTCTGTGGTAACCATAGCAACAGAAACCTCAAATCCAGTCTAACTCCTATCTAGATGAACACAAACCCCTACACTTCAGGTTTAAAAGAAGGAAAGGTGGACAGATCTGCAAGCATAAAAAATATTTACCTCAGTATCTACTGCTCTATACAAGATATCCAGCTTTTAACAAAAATTGTGAAGCATGGGAAGGCAAGAAAAACACACCTGTAAGAGACAAAGCAATTATCATATGACACAGATGTTGAAACTATCAAACAGGGGATTTTAAAAAACTATAATTAATATGTTGAAGGCTCTAATGGACAAGGTAGACAACAGGTAATATCATGTGGACAATTTCAGCAGAGTGATGGTAACCATAAGACAGAATCAAATAGAATTACTAGAAATAAAAAACACAGTAAGAGAGATAAAGAATGCTTTTGAAGTCCTGTGAGTAGAATAAACACAGCCAAAAAAAATCAGTGATGTTGAAGATTGGTCAATAGAAATTACTCAAACAGAAATAAAAAGAACTAACATGTAATTGAAATCTTGCAAAGAGCAGTGAGAGACACAACAGGTCAGGATACATATTTTAAGAAATAAATAGTCAAGAATTTTTCAATATTAATGACATATATTAAACCACAAATTCAAAAAGCTTAAATAATGCCAAATACAAATGAAGAAATATTCAAACTCATAAAATATTCAAAGACAAAGAGAAAATCTTCATGGCAGCTGTAGGACAAAGACATTTCCTACAGAGGAACAAGATTAAAGATTACAGTGCATTTATTGTCAGAAACTATGCATTCAAGAAGATAATGAACAGTCTTTAATAGTGCTAAAAGGAAAAAAATCTCCTAACCCAGAATTCTAGACCAGCAAAAACATATTTCAGAAACAAAGAAGAGGCTGGGCGTAATGGCTCACACCTGTAATCCCAGCAGTTTGGGAGGCTGAGGCAGGTGGATCACTTGATCTCAGAAGCTTGAGACCAGCCTGGGCAACATGGTGAAACCCCATGTCTACAAAAAAAGTAGCTGGTATGGTGGTGCACACCTGTAGTCCCAGCTACTTGGGAGACTGAGGTAGGAAGATATCTTGAGCCCAAGAGGTTGAGGCTGCAGTGAGCTGAGATCATACCACTGCACTCTAGCCTGGGTAACAAAGTGAGACCCTGTCTCAAAAATAAAATAAAATAAAATAAAACAAGATATATAAAGGAGAAATAAAAATGTCTGCAAAACAAAGACTAAAGAAATTTATTAATAACAGACCTATCCTACAGAAAATGTTAAAAGAATTTCTTCAAGCAGAACAACTTAGATTAGAAACTTGGATCAATATAAAATATGGATCTTCATAAAGAAATAAAGAAAATTGGAAATGAAACAAATAAACATAAAATAAAAATCATTTCAAACATACAATTGCTCTAAAAGGTAACTGTTTCAAATAAAATTATAACACTGTATTGTATAATTATAGCATATATAAAAGCAATATATATGAAAACAATAGCACAAAGGGTGGGAGGGATAAAGTGGTAATAACACTGTTGAAAATCCCTGACAATATAAGTAATGTGGTAATATATATATTTATATAGATATATATAAACATCTATATACATATTTATATATATATAAACATCTATATATATCTATACATACATATGTATATATACACATATATACATAGAGATATATCTATATACACATATATACATATTTATATATAGGTATATAGATGTATCTATATATCTATGTGTATATATATATAATTATGCATATATACACATATGTATACATATATACATACACACACACACACACACACGGAGAGAGAGAGAGACAGGGTCTCACTCTGTTGCCAAGCTGGAGTGCAGTGGCATGATCTTGGTTTACTGCAGCCTCCACCTCCCGGGCTCAAGCCATCCTCCTACTTCAGCCTCCAAAGTGGTTGGGACTACAGGCATGGATCACCATGCCCAGCTAATTTTTTTGTATTATTTGTAGAAATGATGTTTTGCCATGTTGCCCAGACTGGTCTTAAACCCCTGGGCTCAAGCAATCCACTTCCCTCAGCCTTCCAAAGTGCTGGGATTACAGGTATGAGCCACTGCACCCAGCCTTATGATTATTTTTAAAGGTAGACTCAGATTAATTTTAAAAGTATATTGTAAGCCCTAGAGCAATCACTAAACGTAATTTCAAAAAGAGGTAAAATCTTAAGTTTACAAAACAGATAAAAATCATTAAAATTCTGTTATTCCAAGACAGAAAAAGAAAAGAAAGTAGAAAATAAAAAAATTGCAATATATTTTAATTCAAATATATCAATAATTATTTTAAATGTGAATGGTCTAAATACATCAATCATAAGAACAATCTTGTCACATTGGATTAAAAAGCAAGACCCAATTAATGCTCTTTACAAGAGACCCACAACAGCACAGACAGCCTAAAAGGAAAAGAGTGGAGAAAAATAGGCCATGCAAAAACTAACCAGAAAAAAAAGCTGAAATATCTATATGAATGTCAGGTAAAGTAAACCACACACATCGACCTTGGTTAAAATGTGTGAGTGTCAGAACATATTTGCAACAATGTAACTACGACAATTGCCACCCTGGTGACTGCCAAGATTGACTTAGCTGAACTGATTAGCTAAATGGGTGCCCTTTTCTTCCTTTATTGCTTAATAAGGTGGAAAAAACTTTTGAATTTGAGGCAGACCTTTACTCTTTTCTTTGATCTAGTTCTTCTGAGAAATCTGATAAAGCAGACTTGTCCAAGAGTCACTCCATGAAAGATCCCTGGATGTCCTAGACAAAGGGCTAACTGGGTCTGGATTGGCCCTGCTCCCAGTCCGGGGGATGCACACAAACTCAGCTTCCCACAGTTCTGGAGTCATTCTACTTCCAGAAAAGTGATTACGACTTCCCATGGACCTCAAGGTCACTGGGGATTGTGTGGCTATGGTCTACTCCTGTAAATTCCTGATCCTTATATCCAGACTTCCTACATCAAGGAGTCTACTGCCTTCCCAACAAGGTTGCTATCATGCTTGTGCATATAGTGACTGAGGGTTTGAAGGAGGGATGACTGAGGTCTCATCCCATGCAACAGACTCACAGAGAAAATCCTATAGAGCCCTGGCCACAACATGCCTCACTGTGAGGAGATGAGGAGATGGGGGTTGGTTGTGTGGGCTTATCAGTTTTTTCTCTTGCTCACTCTTTGTTTATAGGAGTTTCTACTTTCCCAATAAAACCTACCCTTAACTGATACCCAGTTATGTTTACTTTCTGAATCATGGTACATAATAGATGAGAAACACAGAAAAGATTACCTTGGCATGGAAACCTCTGGCTAAATTCTATTTAATTGTAGTCACCTCTTGCTTACAATGAAGCCATCTGCATGGGACTTTAGGAGACAATATTTAACAGACTCCACATACCTTTAAGAGAATAACATAAGCACATCAGCAGTCATTAGATGGCACTAACTAGCCTTTCCTGAGCTTATGGTAGGATTGGAAGACTGGCTGTTAAACTATGTAAGAGTCAGGTAAAAAGAAAGGATCCTCTAGATATATGAAGAGCATAGAAATTCAGTCTGATTTATATATCTGTTAATTCTTTTCAGGTTCAAATATGTTCCTGACCAAAAACAATATACCACGTCCATATAACAAATTTATTACCGATATCCCCTTTTTCTTAAAGACATATATAAATGAAAGAAAGAAGGCTTAGACATTTCAGATTTGTATTGGCTTTGAACTTCAGATAGAGTTCATATTCACTTCTAGAGAATGTGTCAATATTCACATTGAATCAGTTTCCATAAATCTATCCACAGCAACAGCTGAGAGTGCCTTTGCCTTATGAAGGGCAGCTGGCCAAGCTGAGAATCACTTATAAAAAGCTGTCAAATTTAATGACCACACCTCCACTGCTATTTTCATTTATTTTTTTAAATGAAGATTATTTAGTTCATAAAAGTTCTAAAATCAGCCCATGTCTCCAACTAAGAGAGGATGAGTCTACAGTCAGGTAAGACAAGAAAAATCAAAACAGAACAAAACAAGCAGGCTTTCTTCCTATGAATTCCAGGAAGTCTCAAAGTCAAATATATTAATAACTGAAATAATGAGATACATTTAGGTAAGGTCAGGCTGAAGCTATGAAAAATTCTGAACCTTAAATATATCAAAGAAAACATTTTAAATTGTTATTTTTTTCACACAAGCAAGTACACAGTGAAATTCCAAGTTGAGAGCCATCTTAGTTTTGAAACCTTCTAAAAGCAGAGCCTGGGACAGGGCATTACGTGCTGGTGGCTTTTTGGGCGAATTGACCCCAAGAAAGGACAGTCAAGATATTGGGAGAATAAGACAGGGGAGGAGATGTCAGATTCTCCTGGCTTCAGAGAAAGCTCTACAGCAGTGAGTACGAAAATGCACCAAGAACTTGAGATGAGAGGCTGTCAGCATGAAGTTAATTTAAAGAGGTGCTGTAGCTGAAATTAGAGCTGGATTGAGAGGTAGTGACTAGGGCACCAGAGGCATCTTCTCTAGAGCCCTATGGGTGTGCTTTAATGACTAAGACCTAAAATTGTGAATATTTATACATAAACATTCCAGTTGTAAGGTTTTTCATAAGAAAGTTGACTATGTTAATAGACCTTTCAGGTCCATGTTTAAAAACAGAGTGTACCAAGATGCAATCATCTCATATTCTGGACTAGTTGTTATGAACTGAATGTGTATCCCCAAAATTTATATATTGAAATCTTAGCCCTTAATGTGATGGTATTAAGAAGTTGGGGGAGGGGCTTTAGGAGGTAATTAAGTCATGAGATCAGAATGGGACTAGCGATGGAACTGATAGGGACAGGAGGCAGGAAAATTCTAGGCAGAAGGGCAGGGTCCCTGGCGAATCCCCACCCTCAAGCCTGAAACTGAGGCCCAAAGTGAGAACTTTATATCCGTTTTCCCACTCACATGTTGCATTTTCCAAAACCAACCCTGGTCCACCCCACCACCCATCCTGCACCCATAAAAACTCAGGCTCCACTGGCAGAGAGCAGAGAGAGGGAGAAGAGTAGAAGCAGCTGAACGTCAGAAAGAAGCAGCTTGACTTCATTGATGGCAGGACTTCAGGGGAAGAATACCTTCCCACACCATCCCCTTTCCAGCTGATAGCCACTTCCATCAGCAATAAAATCCCCTGTGTTTCCTATCCTTCATTTCGTTTATGCAATCTGATTTTTCCTAGACACTGAAAAAGAGCTCGAGTACCACGGGAGCACTAAGGCTGTCACACTGACCCTCTGTCCTCCCTGACAGAGAGCTACTGCCTCACACAAAAAGACAGAGGGCCAGTGAGCTGTTGAACACTTAAGGCATCCACGGAAGGCAAAGCTGAAAGAGCCCACAGTAACATACACCCGCTGGGGCTTCGGGGGTCACAGATAATCCCCTCCCAGATGCTGCCATGGGCCCGCACTGAGTTTTGCTCCTGCTGGTGCCCAGAAGCGCTTGCCCCGGCTCCTGAACATGCTCACCTGCATGCACCCCTACCCACAAGGGGTTGAGAGCTGTGGGCTGAGTAAGTGAGGCACCCCTCACTTACTGTCTCCAGAGCCCGACCATGCTGGCACTCTGATCTCCCACTTCCAGCCTCCAGGACTCTGGGAAATAAATCTCTGTTGTTTATAAGTCACCTAGTTTACGGCACTCTGTTATAACAGCCTGAACTAAGACACTCATGAAGTCTGAATTAACAATATTTTGTTACCTCTGGATCTCTGATATATTTAATAGGCCATCTAAGCCAGGTTCTTTGTCAGAAAGCCTTTCTGTAGTGGGAACACTCAATCTCTGACCTTTTCAAGGAGTTGGAATGATCAGAAATTGAGGGGGCAAAATTTGCAGAAACTAAAATTTGTAGAAACTGAAATTTGCAGGTGGCGAGAATGTAGCAAAAGGAAAATAAAAAAAAATAAATTGTTTATTTACCAGTGGTATAATTAGAACAGGGACAAAAGCCAGGGCAGGATCTGTGGGTGCACATCCACAGCTACCTTATCTAGCTCTGAGGAGTGAGGGTCATGACTGTTACACACTTCCCTGAGATTAAGTCAGATGTTCTTGTTGCATTCTTCCAGAGCACCCTGCTTATCCACCCTCGGAGCCCCACACTTTTATCACAGCAGAATGTAAACAAGATGGCAGGGCCCATGTACATGTCTTTTGTTCACCTGTGTATTCATGACAGCACAGAGCCTGTTACAGAACAGACACTTAGTACATGTTTAAGAAATTATAGAAGTTTTTGAAAGTATGTTTAACAAAAACAGTCAATTTGCCAAGCTCCTCTCCCAGGTCCTCATAAGAGGTGTTGGGATGTGTACAGTACACGATGCTGCAGGATGGAGTGCCAGCTTGGATCTCACCCTCACTCAGGAGAGGCAATCTAGTCCTCCACACTGGAAGCAAATACTGTTTGCATTTTCCCTGAAGGATTTAGAAATTCTACTCAAGAAACACCTTAGGTGTAAAATAATGATTATAACTAAGGAAAAAGTCCAATTTCTTATGAGTAGGTGCAAAAGAATAATACAAAATTGTATTACCTCATATATTTATATAAACAACACTGGAATGGAATATTAAAAATGAATATATTTGATTAAAGAGATAGTTGTATTGTACATGTTTTATTTCCTGAGTTGTTGCAAAATCTGAACAATAAATAAAACATTTTAAAATGGAAACAACCTCTCACTACCAAAGATGTAAACACCTATCAGGATTTGACAATCTGTTATAAATATACATAATAAACAGGCATTGAAAATTTAGCACGATTATTTGCTACTGTTTCAGCTGCTTAAAATAAACATGAGCAGCACACTAATAGAATGAAAAAGACAAAACAATCTCCAGTATCCTTGATGCAACTCTAAGTCAATTTCACCTTTACAATCTGGAATTCCAGGAGCAGATGGTTGGGATATGCCAATGGTAATCATTTTATCAGCAGCATATGGAAAGGAGTCTCTCACAGTGTAGAGCCACAGTATTGCCATTTCTGAGCCAGGCATGGGATTAAAACAAAGTCCAGATTTTAAAATTGAATGCATCAGACTCTGCTTCTTAGAATGGTTCATTTGATGCTGTTTCTCTCAGTCTTACAAGAGATTTAAGAGAAGCTCCCATTTATTGTAATTGCTAGAAATTAATCAGGAGTGATTGAAGCCACATGCTACCATGGTAACCTGGGTTCTACTGAGTAGCTGTTCTCCACTTCAAAGAATTAAATATCTGTTAATAAATTAGTGTTGAAGTCATTTCCATCTTCCCACCTCATTCCACTCCTGGTCCCTTTGACCCACTCAGTCCAGCCCCCATTCTCAGTTGTATGAAATTAAGCAACTAACAAGCTATCCTTTTGGCATTGACAAATAGGTAATTGAGGGATTTGCTTTCAGAATTCCATCACCTTTGCTAAACAAAGGGCTTTTCAACCTTAGCCCTATTGATATTTTGGACTAGATAATTCTTTATTAGGGAGTAGGGGAAGGAGTCCTGTACATTGCAGAATCCCTGGCCTCTACCTTCCAGATATCAGTAGCAATCCCTCTGCCCCTGGTTGTGATACCAAAAATGTCTCCAGACATTGTCAAACATCCCTCAGGGAGCAAAATTACCCATGGATACAAACCACTGAAATAAAGGAAGATCTAAAGCATGAAATACTTTGTAAAAAAAAATACATAAGTGGATGCACCTGACAGTGCACATATTATGGTCCTAATAAGGTGTTTCATATGAAGGACATGCTCATTTATATTAAATATGTGACTCGTTTTCTGATCACTGGATCTATCAACCTACCTTTAAAGCTTAGTCTAACTTCATCAAGGTCCCAATCTATGTATCCATTATGCATTTCCTTGAATTAAAAAAAGTTTTATGGGGAAATTTTAACCCAAATTAAGGTTTACAATGCATCTATTAGATATTTAAGGTCCCCGGAAACAGAGATGGTGTCTTTTTCACTTTATATTTGCTCATTTATAGTATGTTCATCATGGTGATTCACATACAACTCCTGACAGAACATTTTGGAAGAGCTGTAAAACAAAAATAAAAACAGGACCCAAAATAACATTATGGCACTGCAGATCTAAGAGTTAACTGGCCCAATTCCTAGCCAAACACTTATTAACAAGGATATTTATAGATATTATAAACCGAAGGGATACTGGAAGAGATATCGTTCCATCTGACAAAAGAAAAACCAAATCAAAACAAAATCCCTCAGTTTACTTCAACTAGAGCGCTCCAAGGAAGGAAAAACATAACCCAGTATCTTGTCTTAAAATTAAACACTCAAAATGAGTTAACTATAAATACAGTGATTAACCTCATTAATTCCTGGTAGATAGAAGTGCTATTCTTTCTACAGTTAAATGCTGACACCTTTGCACAATCTTAGGCATAAACATGCCAAATAAGGGGTAGGTATTCCTGATAACACAGATTTTCCCTGTCTCCCAGCCCTTAATTCTAACCCTTGAGCCCTTGATTAAAAGACATTCCTCCCTGCGTTGTGATACCACACCTGCAAGTTTAACAGAGAAAGACTGATTTTGCAAATGGAATTGTAATATTAAACCTACACCAGCAGGACTCTTTATGGATGTTCCAGAGGACTCCTCTATTCATAATCAAGTTGTATCTGTTCTGGGCATATCTTTGCCCTCTCTATTATATTTAATGCATGTCAAAAATAGAAGTACTGGCACCGCACCTCACTCTATGGGCTAAAAATTCCACTGACATAGGTAAACTAGAATAAAACCCGTTAAAATTCAGGTAGACCCTGCAAAGTTGTTACCTACATTTCCCCAATATTCCTTGAAGCCAGAAGCAATGGACTCACACCTGTAGTTGAAGGTCATATATCCAAAGGCCTTCTCATACTCTACAATAGCCCTTGTAACTTTCCCTCCCTGACATTAAAGAAACCAAAAGGACAAGGATATTAGTTTGTTTGAAATCTCATGGCCATCAACAAACTTATTATCCCTTCATTTACTGTAGTACTTAAATTGATTACATACCTATCATCAATTCTACCTGAAACCACTTGCTTCACCATATTAATTGATCTTTGCTCTGTGTACCCCTGTACCAAGACGGTCAATACCTTCTTTATCTGCAGAGAGCAACAATATATATGAATTGATCATGTCCCCAGGGTTCACTGAAGCTTGTCCTATTTGTCCCAGGTCCTCAGTAGAAGCTTCAAAGACCTAAATTTCCCTGTGATTCAGTTTGTGATATAATAAGTAGTGAATCTCCCACTTTGTTTAGAGAACAACACAAAAAAAGAAATCGGTAAAAACAATTCCATCTACTTGCACTTAGCCTTAGCAAAACAACAACAGTGTTTAAAAAGGTAAGTTAATATCATAAAAACTCAATGCACTATTTAGGGAAAGACTTAGAATGGATTATCACTATCTCCTAATAGACAAAACACAATACCAACTTTTCCTAGACCCCTCACAAAATAACAATTAAGAAGATTTCCATGCTTAATTGGGTTTTGCAGACAGCAGGGTCAATTATTTTTTTCTGAGATTGCTACCTGTTTATGGATTAAGTCCTCAGTAGGAACTCAAGCATGAGAAGGCCTTTCATAACCTATAGAAGGCTTTTCTTTTTTCTTTTTTCTTTGAGATGGAGTTTTGCTCTTGTTGCCCAGACTGGAGGGCAATGGCACATCTCGGCTCACCGCAACCTCCACCTCCTGGGTTCAAGCAATTCTCCTGCCTCAGCCTCCCAAGTAGCTGGGATTACAGGTATGTGCCACCACGCCTGGCTAAATTTTTTTGTATTTTTAGTAGAGACTGGGTTTCTCCATGTTGGTCAGGCTGGTCTCAAACTCCCGACCTCAAATGATCCGCTCGCCTCGGCCTCCCAAAGTGCTGGGATTACAGGGATGAGGCACTGCACCTGGCCAGAAGTCTTTCAATAGACCCCTCTTCCATAGGCATCCCTAACTATAAAACACTCTTTTGTCCATTTGTATATAAGCCATATGGACAATCTCTTCTAGGTTTCACTTATAAGAACCCTCAAAAACCCATCTCTTTCTAAAACGTCCTAGACCCAGTTGCAAAGTCTTAACCCTGTGGTCTTAGAGAAATAACTTATACTGTAAAAATTACTGCAGCAGCCAGGCACGGTGGCTCACGCCTGTAATCCCAGCACTTTGGGAGGCTGAGGTGGGCGGATCATGAGGTCAGGAAATCGAGACCATCTTGGCTAACACGGTGAAACCCCGTCTCTACTCAAAATACAAAAAATTAGCGAGGCCTGATGGTGGGCGCCTGTAGTCCCAGCTACTCGGGAGGCTGAGACGGGAGAATGGCGTGAACCCCAGAGGTGGAGCTTGCAGTGAGCCGAGATCGCACCACTGCACTCCAGCCTAGGTGACAGAGTGAGACGCCGTCTCAAAAAAAGGAAAAATGCTGTAGCTTCTGTTGGACTAGCTCTAGGTTCCCCCACATAATCTAACAGCTCTTCATTCAGTACAGACATTACTAGTAACTGAGGGCATGCAACACTTTCATCCAGCCATCAACCTCTGCTGAGATGCTGCTACTCTATTTCACATACTGTTCACAGCTGAATCCTGCCACTCTCCTGACCCTAACAAAAGGCAGGGAACCTCTTAATTATCTTGCTTCAGCTAAGGAACTTTCTGTAACTTAATTAGATTTATTAGCGACTCATGTAGTTTGAATCCTAACCTAATATTACCTGTTGTTGGATCGTGCCTCAAAAATTAAATGAGAAACTATCAAGAACACTCTATCACTTGTTTAAGTTGTCCTTTAAAATATAGATCTCTACCTGGAATAAACTCATCTCAGATGGCAAAACTTGTTAACTTGTTGCACATGATAAAGAGCTTCTCAATAAACCAAAGACCAGAGAGTCAACATACATACAGACAACAGGTATGCTTCTAAACCAACATGTGGGGAGGCTTTGAAAATAATTGGGGTTGTACATCCACTTGTAAAGAAAGGACAAGTTGTAGAACTTTTAGTTGCATTATCACCTCCTAGACAAACAGCTATTATAAAAGTTGAGGCCCATGCCAAAAAAGAAAAAAGAAAAGGAAAGAAGCTAAAAGACATACTCTAGCAGGTTATTGTGCCAGTAAGACAGCCTCGAGGTAATAATTCTAACTAAATCCCTAAAGTATGAATCTCTGGAGGGATAACAACAGAGTAGACATTCTTCTCTCTGCACATGATACATACTCTAAGGTTGACCACACAACTGACATAAAACAATCCTCCAATTTAAAAAAAAAAATACCAATCACACCCTTGGACAACAGTGCAATAAAAATAGAAATCATTACTAAGAAAATTGCTCAAAATCATACAATTACATGGAAACTAAACAATCAGCTTCTGAGTGACTTTTGAGCAAATAATGAAATTCAGGCAGAAATCAAGATGTTCTTTGAAACTAATGAGAAAAAAGATACCACATACCAGAATCTCTGGGACGCAGCTAAATCAGTATTATGAGAGAAGTGTGTAGCACTAAACACCCATATCAAAAAGTTAGAAAGATCTCAAGTTAACAGCCTAAGATCACAAGTAGGAACTCAAGAAACAAAAGCAAACCAACTGTAAGGCTAGCAGAAGACAAGAAACAACCAAAATCAGAGCTGAACTGAAGGAGACTGAGCTGTGAAAAATCGTACAGAAGATCAACGAATCCAGGTATTGGTTTTTTTTAAAGAATTCATAAGATACATAGACCACTAGCAAGACTGATAAAGAAAAAAAAAGATCCAAAACACAGTCAGAAATGACAAAAGAGATGTTACCATTGACTCCACATAGAAACAAAAAATCGTCAGAGACTACTACAAACACCTCTATGCACATGAGCTAGAAAACCTAGACAAAATTAATAAATTCCTGGAAATCTACAACCTCCCAAGATTAAATCCCAAAATAGACCAATAACAAGACCCAAAATTGAATCAGTAATAAAAAGCCTACCAACCAGAAACCCATAACCAGGTGGATTCACAGCTGACTTGCACTGACTTGTACTAGATACATAAATAAGAGCTGGTACAATTTCTACTGAAACAAGTTCAAAAAATTAAGGAGAAGGGACTCCTCCCTAAGTTATTCTATGAGGTCAGCATCATCTTGATACCACCAAAACCTGGCAGAGTCGCACACACAAAAAAAGAAAACTTCTGGCCAATATCCTTGATAAACATGGATGCAAAAATCCTCAACAAAATACTTGCAAACTGAATCCAGCAGCACATCAAAGAGCTAATCCACCGTGATCAAGTAGGCTTTATCCCTAGGCTGGAAGGTTGATTCAACATACGCAGATTAATAGATGTGATTCATCACATAAACAGAATTAAAAGCAAAAGCCACATGATTATCTCAATAGATGCAGAAAAGGCTTTTGATAAAATTCTACCTCTCTTCATGTTAAAAACGCTCAATAAACAAGGTATTGAAGGAACATACCTCAAAATAATGAGTCATCTTCTATGACAAACCCACAGCCAACACCATACTGAATGGGAAAAGCTGCAAACAATCCCCTTGAAAATTGGAACAAGACAAGGATACCCTCTTTCATCAGTCCTATTCAACACAGTACTAAAAGTTCTGGTCAGCAAAAACAGGCAAGAGAAAGAAATAAAAGACATCCAAATAGGAAGAGAGGAAGTCAAACCATCCCTGTTTACAGATTATTCTATATCTATAAATATCCATAATCTCTGCCTAAAAACTCCTTGATCTGATAAACAACTCCAGAAAAGTTTACTGATAAAAAACAATGTACAAAATCAGTAGCATTCCTATACACCACCAACACACAAGCTGATAGCCAAATCAAGAGTGCAATCCTAGTCACGATAGCCACAAAAAGAATAAAATACCTAGGAATACAGCTAACCAGAGAGGCAAAAGACGTCTACAATGCAAATTACACAATACTGCTCAAAGAAATCAGAGATGACACAAATGGAAAAACATTCCATGCTCAGGGACAGGAAGAATACTATTAAAATGGCCATATTAGCCAAACCAATTTACATATTCAATGTTATTCCTTTGAAAATACCAAAGACATTCTTCACAGAATTAGAAGAAACTATTTTAAAATTCATATGGAACCAAAAAGAAGCCCAAATAGCCAAGGCAATCCTAAGCAAAAAGAACAAAGCTGGACACATCACATTATTCAACTTCAAACTATACTCCAAGGCTACAGAAACCAAAACAACATGGAACTGGTTCAAAAACAGACACAGAGACCACTGGAACAGAACAGAGATCCCAGAAATAATTTCAAACACATACGCCTATCTGATCTTCAATACAGTTGACAAAAGCAAGCAATGAGGAAATGATTCCCTACTCAATAAAGGTGCTGGGATAACTGCCTAGCATATGCAGAAGATTGACACTATATTCCTTTCTTATATCACATACAAAAATCAACTCAAGACAGATTAAAGACTTGACTATGAAACCTAAAACTATAAAAACCCTGGAAGATAACCTAGGAAATACCATTCTGGACATCAGACCTGGCAAATATTTCATAACAAAGATGCCAAAAGCAACTGTAACAGAAGCAAAAATTGACAAGTTGGACCTAATTAAACTAAAGAGTTTCTGCACAGCAAAATAAGTTATCAACAAAGTAAACAGACAACCTGCAGAATGGGAGAAAGTATTTGCAAATTATGTATCTGACAAAGGTCTAATATTCAGAACCTATAGAGAACTTAAATTCACAAGCAAAAATCCACATTAAAAAGTAGGCGAAGTACATGAACACTTTTCAAAAGACATACATGTGGCTTGTATACATACGTAACTAACCTACACATTGTGCACATGTACCCTAAAACTTAAAGTATAATAATAATAAAATAAAATAAAATAAAATAAAAACAAAAGACATACATGTGGCCAACAAACACATGAAAAAATATTCAACATCCCCTCATTAGAGAAATGCAAATCAAAACCACAATGAGATACCATCTCAAACCAGTGAGAGGGCTATTTTTTAAAAGTAAAAAAAAAATATGCTGGTGAGGCTACGGAGAAAAGGGAACACTTATACACTGCTGATGGGAGTGTAAATTAGTTCAGCCATTGTGCAAAGCAGTTTGGCAATTACTCAATTAACTCTAAGCAGAATTACCATTCAACCCCAGCAATCCCATTATTGGGCATATACTCAAAGGAATATAAATTGCTCTACCATGAAAACACAGCCATGTGCATGTTCATCATAGCACTATTCACAATAGCAAATACATGAAATCACCTTAACGCCCATTCAACAGTAGATTTGATATAGAAAATATGGTACATATACAGCGTGGAATACTATGCAGCCACAAAAAAGAATGAGATCATGTCCTTTGCAGCAACATACATCTGAAGGCCATTATTCTAAGCAAAGTAACACAGGAACAGAAAATCGAACACCACATATTCCCGTGAGTGGGAGCTAAATATTGAGTACATATAGACACAAAGAAGGGAAAAAGAGACACCAGGCCCTACTTGAAGGTAGAGGGAGAAAAGAGGGTGAGGTTCAAAAAACTACCTATTGGGTACTATTCTTATTACCTGGGTGACAAAATAATCTGTACACCAAATCTCCATAACAAGCAATTTACCTATATTAACAAAACTGCACATGTAACCCTGAACCTAAAATAAATGTAAATAAACAACAAAGAGGTTGTTTATAACATATAAATGCTTAGCCCCTGATTCTGAAAAGGAAAAAATGGAAAAAATTTGGCTGTGCCCTCACTTTGATAATATCTGGGTATCTCAAGATGGCCATTTGGTAGCATCAGATAATTTCAAATGAATGTTAGCTAAATCTATTGATGAAACTACCCATCATGGTGCAGATAAATTGGTTATTGTCCTAAATCAACACTTCTGGGGAAACATTAAAAAGACAGGCAAGATTATTTGTTGTGTTATGTATCACCTGTTAACAACATGACACTGGAGAAAGTGCCGAGGTGGAGTAGAAATCAAAGTTGTAAGGGTCCTTTGAATGCTTTCAGGTGGATCTTATCCAGCTTCCATCCTCAAGAACAGGTTCTGGGTATTATTGTAGCTTTCTTACTTGCCCAAAAGCTGTAGCCCTCACAGTCACTAAAAATCTAACTGATTTTGTGCTTCCAACCTGGGGCATACCAACTTTTATATCAAGTGATTGAGGCTCATACTTTGCAGGAATCATCATAAAAGGACTCTGTAATGATTCGCTTTGTATGCAAAAATTACACTACCCTTATTAACCACAATCATCTGCAAAGTTTGAAAAAAATAATGGCATCCTTAAAATCTGCCAAACTCCCAGAAACCCTTAAGCATCCTTACTAATGTTACTCCCACTATCCCTAATAGCCCTTAGGGACACACAGTTACCAACCACTAACTGGTAATTGGAAGGCCCGTGTGTTCTGATCACCTCTTATTCATCCCATTGGTGAAGGAGGGAGTTCTCACCCCAAATAGTATGAGACGGCTGAACACATAATACCCAGCACTGGAAGGATGAGAATTGTAGCACTTTATTAGTCACATATACTCATAGCCTGAGAGAATGAGGATGCCACCAGGGCCACATGGTGGCTGAACTGTGCTTGGGAATACAATGAAACAGCTGGGACTGTGGGAAGCAGGCTTTGTAGTAACAAGAGCATTAGGTGACCCTTGGTTCTTACAGGAGGCTATAACTGGCTTGAATAATTTCACAGACATGCAAGGAGGTGAAACTCATTACGTTGAGAATTAGGGGGGGCTGCAGTTTGATCAGCTAATAGGAAAATCAGCCAAGTGTGGGTCCTTTCCCACCACATGGAGAGCATACCTGACAAGAGCAGGGGAATACAGACCTAGGCTTTTAGGGCCCTGTGAGGCTCAAAAATATGAAGGCAACACTTGAAATTTTAGGTCTCACAATACACCATGTGTTTAGGGAATTCATCCTGTTATTAGACTCCTCCCTTCTGCACAGAGACATGGCAAAGAATTGTGAGAGACACATGTACTATACCTATCACCAACAGATTAAGGCTGCCCTCCCACAGCCTCTTAAACAGCCTCTATATGCTCTTCAACTGGAGATTTCATCTACTAAAAAAAAAAAAAAAACCTAAAAAAAACAAAAACAGAAAAAATCCTCTTAAACCCTGTTGGAAGTACTGTTAGCATTGTTAACAACAGTATAGTGAAACTCAAGTCATGTTTCACAACAATCCAGAACTCTATAGAATTAGAACATAATTCCAATAGAGAGCCTCAAATTCAGGTTTCTCGAAGATCTTCTAGAAGCATCTGATATTTTGAATTAGACAGATGATCTTTGAAACAAGCAGAGGACCTTGTTTAGTGGACAACTTCTGCCCAAGATATCAGACTCAGACTCCTGATTTTCTGTCTGATTGGTTATAATAATTCTTATTATTTTATTAATATCTGGCTGTTGTACACCCATAATCCTCTTTCTCTTTCTGTATTATAATAGCTAGGTCAGAACGTACTAATTCTAACGTCTAATGTCACTCTTAACTTACTCCAAAGAATAGCCACTGCCAATTTACCAAATGCTGGGTACACCTTTCATCACCAGACCCCAATTATAAAACCCTCTGGATAATTCTGTTTTCATCAAATGAAACCAAAAGGAATTACAGCCAAATAATGCTATCATTATGTACTTATTATAAAAAGCAGAATAAATTACACCTATATAGACAAATGACTTTTCTAAAAATCAACCTATTATTTTGCTAGTGTTCCTCTTTCCCGGAAAAAGAACCAATTATTACAATCTATTGATCATATCATAGGTAATTCTCAAAAATCTTTCTAGAGCAGTGGACAAATTGCTTGTCACCAGGAAGAGACTCATAAAGATTTAAATATATAACCTAGCTAACATAAGGCCTCAGTTCTGACCTCATGTTATTAAAAACTAGTTATTTTCCTGGTTCTTCATGGAGCCATTGGATACTACCTTTTTCCAGGGTGGTTCTGTTTGCCCCAGACTAACACTTCATGCAATTTAGGAAAACTATTCCAAGTTTTGTCTGTATGCAGAAGCCTTTATTCTGTAAATCACCAATGCTGGAAATTCTAATTCAGATACAAGTTTCAAAACAGGATTATCCTTGATTATTTGGGCACTCAACCTGGGGGAATTACTAATTCATCATTTATGCAAATGATCATAGCAGTATTCCCCAAAATAGGAATCATAAAAATAGAAAAAAACACTGTAAGAAACCATCACTAACTCTGTCATAAGTCACTAATGATTCTACTTCTTCCCTAAATGGAATACAGATCAGTCTCAATTTATTGGGCATAAGTACTGATGTACAGTCACATTGCTTAAGATTTTCTTGTTGGCTAGTAATGATGATGCCTGTCCCATCGCAAATACTCCTTGCTGTATCTGAATCAATGAAACAGACAAGGTAGGGAAAAGCTACTTGGCTAAGGTTAAACTTCATGGCCTACAGGATTTGCTCTTTTAGTCTGAGTTAGGCAATTAGAGTTCCTGGTTCTGAAATCCCAGAGAAACTACTGTTTTTATTTTCCTCATAGTGGTCATGATGCTGGTTTGGTGCATTCTATTCAGAGTTTTAAATGCTTCTGTGCAGCTGTTCTCTAATTAAATGATCACCGTGGTGACATAACAACAAAAAATCAAGATCTACAATTCAAATGACTAGGGAGAAAACTGAACAACTTTTAAGTGGTGAAGATCTTGATTTTCAGCGTTCCCTGTATTGGTCAATCTCTTAGAAATGAGATAATGACACAGAGGGAGGGCTGTGAGACTGAATACACCAACTGCCAATAGGGAGACAACATATGACAACAGTAGTCTACTTACAACCTCCTTAGCAACCAGTTTGAAAAAGTTAAATTACTACCTCTGCTGCAATAAGCTCAGAACAGTCAAAAAATTATTTAAACATAGGCAAAATGTTCATGAACATAAACAAAAATTTCTTAACAAAATATAAACAAAATTTGGCAATATCTGTTAACAGCTTAATATGTGCTTATCCTTGCTTGATCCATGCCTCAGCTATTCCATTTTTCATATCTGTGAAAAACAGGTACACAAATGCAAAAGACTCTGTATGCTGGTGTTAATTGCAGCATTTTTATAACATAAAAATGAAAGTGATATAAATATTTGTCAACTCGGAAACAACACCATATAAGCATGCTATATTTACTAGAGCAGGAAAAAATTTATAGTTCCATATTCAGTAAGTTAGACAGGTACCTAAAACATACTATTCAGTGTAAAAAATAAGTTACAGAGTGACATAAGAAGTTAAAGAACCATAGAAAAAAATTAAAATACCCAAAACAAAGTTTTATATTTTCTAAGAAAACATAAATAATAGAGGTCATGTATTACTTGATTAATTTTAAAAGTCAACAAATATAGTATGTTGATAGCAAAAAGACAAGAGATGGGAAGAAGGAGGAGTGTTGAAAAAAATCAGTGATTAAACACATTCCCTGACTAAGTAGAGATTGAAGAAATAAAGCAATAAATAAATATATGTGTATCACCTTAAGTTACAATGCAAAATATCCAAGAAACTAGAAATAGTGATAAACACATATAGGAAGGAAGGCATAAGAAGAGCTGAAAATGTAAGAGAACCTTTTCTTGATCTGTGAAAGAAAAAGTAAAATAAAGTCACAGACATGGATATAAACCCAAAAATAATAATTAAAAAGCAGTCCTCCTAGAGAGCAAGACACATTCCATGAGGGCAGAGGACTGTAGTTTTTCATTATAAGTACTTGTGTTACTTCCTTTGATTTCTTTCATCTGTGTATAAATATATTACTATTATCTTAAATTTTAAAACTTTACAAAAGGCTCAACTCCATAACATTTTGTATACAAAGCTCAATTATACTGTTTGAGTTTAGTGATATGATGGAAGTTATGATTTAATACTTACTTGAACACTGAGACATCATCTTTTGGAAATACACGTGAGCAAGATGATGGAGTAGGAAGCTTTGGACCCTCCACCCCACAACCAAGCTGAATTCACCGACAATACATGGACAAATTCCCTTTATGAGAAATAGGAAATGAATTAAAAGGCTCCTGCAACTTGGTCAAGTGTGAAAACACTCACTCAGGCCAAAGGAGATTCAGAACAGTCCTCTTATCAGAGACTCTTCCCCAGTGCAGTACCATATAATCAAAAAGAGATACCCTACCTCCTAGATTCATCCAGGGGTTGAAAGTAGTTAGTTTGTAGGTCCAGTGCTTCATCTTTCCCCAGAGGACTGGCTTTTCTCTTCCCAGTATTGAAATTGTGATGGGTCCAGTACTGTCCAGCTACCTGGGAGAGAACAGAGGCAGCAGATTGAGCTGGTAAATGCCAATGATCCTCCCTGCTGCTTAGCACAAAGAAAACAGATGAAAATCACAGCTCTCAGTTCTCCCCTAGAGAGAGTAAGAGCTAATTTGTGTAACCAATAGCCCACCTTCTCCAGGGCTGCCCAAAGAACTAGCATCTTTCTTGCCAGTTTTTGAGCTCTTACAGGTCTGGCACATTCTAGCCACACAGAGGATAATAAAAATGGCAGCATGGGCTGATAGAAACCATGGATTGTCCTTGCTCTTGGCAGAGAAAAGAGCAAGCAGGAAAAATCCACAACTGTCTGCTTTTCCCTGGGGAGAAAAAGAATACATAGAGGCTCCTAAAATCTCTGGCTGAGTTAATTGATGGGGATTTTCTCTGTACAAGTCTGTGAGACTGAGTGAGATGCCTGTTTTGTCTAATTCCCAGACACTAACACAGAGAGTCAAGGAAAATAAAGAATCAGTCAAAGATGTTCCAAAGAAAGAAAGAAGATAAATCCTATAGGATAAGACACTGGAAATAATTCAGTTAGAGGAGAAAAAGGAAAAAGAATACAAAAGAGTAAAGAAAGCTTGAGAAAGTTATTGTACACCAAGTGGACCAATATATGCATTAGGTGAATTCCAGAGGAGAAGACAAAGGATCAAAAAAATATTTAAATAAATAATAGCTGAAAAACACACAAATTAGGGAAGAAAATGGACTTCAGATCCAAATAGCCCAAAGGACACCAAATAAGAGGAACTAAAAAAGTTCACAGCAAAACACATTAAATCAAGTGGTCAAAAGTCAAAGACATAATTTTAAAATGCTAAAAGAAAAAAAAAAGATAAAGAAATACCCTGTCAACCAAAAATGCTATGTCTGACTAACTCTCAGACAGAAGAAAAAAGGGATGAAGGCTTTTCCAGGCAAACAAAAGCTGAGGGAGTTTATTACCACTAGACCTGCCTTACAAGCAATTCTAATGGAAGTTCTTCAAGTTAACATGAAAAGAAAATGACGGTATAGAAAGCATGAAATTCATTGGTTAAGATAAAGAAATATAGAAAGAAGTACCATATTATGGTAGTAGTGGTAAGTAAATCATTCTCAATTTTAATATAAATTTAAAAGACAAAAGTATTAGAAATATAACTAAAATATATTAAAAGAAACATAGTATGAATAAATACAGATTGTTATAATAAAACCTGTGGGGAAAAGTTGAACTGCAGAGATTGGATGCAATTGAACTGAAGTTGTTATCAGCTTAAAATAAACTGTTATAAGATATTTTATGTAAACTTCAAGATAACCACAAAAAATAAAGTACTTGTAGACCTTAGAGCTTACACAAAAGAGAAAAGAAAGGAATCAAAACATATCATTACAAAAAAATCAACAAACAATGAAAGACAGCAGAAAAAGGGAATAATACCAAAACAACTACAAGACTAACAGGGAAAAACCTAACTAAATGGCAATAATAAATACTTTCCTATCAGTGAATACTTTAAATGTAAATGGATTAAACTCCTCAATCAAAAGACATAGGATGATTTAATTTTTTTAAAAAAAAGCAAGACTAAATTATATGTTGTGTAAAACAAACCCATTTTAGATTTAAGGATGCACAAAGGCTAAAAGTGAAAAGATAATGAAAAAAACTTATTTTATGCAAATGCTAACCAAAAGAGAGCAGGAGTGTCTAGATATACATAAAACAAAATTTAGTTTAACTAAAAGACTGTTGCAGGATACAGAGAGAAGGATATTTTGTAATGAGAAAAGAGTAAATGCACTAGGAAGATAGAACAATATATATGTACCCAACATCAGAGAATCTACTAGATAAAGGAAACCTTGACAGATATGAAAGGAAAAATATAGAGTGATGCAATAATATAGAAGATGTCAATAACCTACTTTCAATAGACCAACCAGAGAGAAGACCAGTAAGGGAACAGAAGATTTAAACAATACTATACACCAAATGGACTGAACATATGTATACAGAGTATTCCACCCAACAGCAGCAGAATACATATTCATCTCAACTGCACATGAATCCTTCTCCATGAAAGATCACATGTCACAAAACAAATCTTAACAAATTTAAGAAGGTTTAAATTATATTTTTACGGCCACAATGGAATAAAACTAGAAGTACCTATCCCAAAAGGAAAACTGAAAAATCCTCAAATATGTGGAAATTAAACAACACATCCTTGAAGAATTATTCAGTTAAAGAAAAAATCAAAATGGAAATTAGAAAAAAATACCCGAAAGAAAATGAAAACAAAACATCAAACTTATGGGATGCAGCAAAAACATTATTAAGAGGAAAGTTTATTGAGATAAATGCCTACATTAAAAATGAAGAAAATTTTACAAAAATCAACTTGAGATGGATCAAACACTTAAATCTAAGACCTGAAACCATGAAATTTCTAGAAGATAACATCAGGAAAGCTCTTCTAGACATTGGGTTAGGCAAAGAGTTCATGACCAAGAACCCAAAAGCAAATGTGACAAAAACAAAGATAAATAGATAGGACCTAATTAAACTAAAAAGCTTCTGCACAGCAAAAGAAATAATCAGCAGAGTAAACAGCCAATCCATAGAGTAGGAGAAAATATTTACAACTATGCATCTGACAAAGGTCTGATAGCCAGAATCTATAAGGAACGCAAACAAGTCAGCAAGAAAAAAACAAGTAGTCTCATCAAAAAATGGGCTAAGAACATGAATAGTCAATTCTCAAAAGAAGATATAAAAATGGCCAAAAAATACTCGACATCACTAATAGAGAAAACCGGAATGCACTACTGCCTTACTCCTGCAAGAATGGTTGTAATTAAAAAATCAGGAAATAATAGATGTTGGCATCATTGTGGTAGAAAAGGAACACTTTTACATGCTGATGGGAATGTAAACTAGTACAACCACTATGGAAAATAGTATGGAGATTCCTTAAAGAACTAAAAGTAGAACTACCATTTGATCCAGCAATCCCACTACTGAGTATCTACCCAGAGGGAAAAAAATCATTATATAAAAAAGACATTTCACCTGCATGTTTATAGTGCACAATTCACAATTGGGAAAATATGGAACTGGCTTAAATGCCCATCGACAAATGAGAGGATAAGGAAAATGTGGTATATATCTATACCATGGAATACTATCCAGGCACAAAAAGGAATGAAATAATGGCATTTACTGCAACCTGAATGGAGTTGGAAACCATCATTCTAAGTGAAGTAACTCAAGAATAGAAAACCAAACATTGTATATTGTCACAAGTGGGAGCTAAGGTATGAGGATGCAATGGCACAAGAATGATGTAAGGGACTTTGGAGATTCAGAGGGAACTGGTGTGAGGAATAAAAAACTACACACTGGGTACAGTATACACTACTTGGGTGATGGGTGCACCAAAATCTCAGAAATCACCATTGAAGAACTTACCCGTGTAACAAAAAAAACACCTGTTTCCAAAAAACTATTGAAATAATAAATAAAATTTTCAATTAAACAACCTAACTTTACACAAAAGAAACTAGAAAAAGAACTATGCTCACAGTTAGCAGAAGAAAGGAAATAATAAATATTAACACAATATATACAAAACACAAAAAGGAAAAACAAAATCATTGAAACTAAAAATTGTTTTTTTTTAAGGTAAATAAAATGGACAAAACTTTGCTAGACTAGGAAAAAGAGGACTCAAATAAATAAAATTTAAAAATTAATGAGACATTATCCCATAGGAATGAAAAGGGTTAAAATGGATTGCATGAACAATTATACTTCAACAAATTGGATAACCTTTTAAAGAAATGTTATTTTAATAATTTTAATAAATTTAAATAAATTTCTAGAAACACACAACCTATCAAGACTAAATCATGAAGAAATAGAAAGTTGGAACAGGCCCATAACTATTACAAAGATTTGATTATAATAAAATACCTCCCAACCAAGAAAAGCCAGGACCTAATGGCTTCACTGGTAAATTCTACCAAACCTTTAAAGAAGAATTAATGCCAATCCTTCTTAAACTCTTCCAAAAAGTTAAAGAGAAGCCACTTCCAATATTTTTATGAGATCAGAATTACTCTGATATCAAAACCAGACAAAAACACCACAAGAAAAGAAAACTACAGGCCAATATCCTTGATAAGCAGATTCAAAAATTGTAAACAAAAATACTAACAAACTGAATTCAATAACATTAAAAGGACCATACATTATGGCATAGTGAGATTCATCCCTGGAATGCAAGGATGGTTCAACATATGAAACTTAATGTGATATGCCCATAAACAGAATGAAGGATAAGAATTACATGAGCAGCTCAAAAGATACAAAAAAGGCATCGACAAAATTTCATACCTTTTCACCATAGCAACTTCCAACAAAACAAGAAAATTATCTCAACATAGTAAAAGCTATCTAGGAAAATCTCAGAGCTAACAACAAACTCAATGGTGAAAAACTAAAAGCTTTGCCTCCGAGATTAAGAACAAGGCAAGGATGTCCACTCTTACCACTTCTATTCAAGATAGCACTGGAAGTCCTAGCAAGAACAAGGAAAAGAAATAAAAGGCATACAAACTAGAAAGGAAATGAAATTGTCCCTGTCTAAAGACAGCATGATCTTCTATGTAGAAAACCCTAAAGACTCCATTTTTTTTCGGGAAAAAAAAGCTCTTAGAACTAATCAAAGAATTCAGTAAAGTTGAAGGATACAAAAATCAATATAGAAATCAGTTGCATTTCTATACACTAACAAACTATCTTTTAAAAATTGGAAAACAATCCAATTTACAATAGCAACAAAAAGAATAAAATAAACTTAATTAAAGAAGTGAAAGACTTGTATACTGAAAACTGCAAAACACTGATGAAAGAAATTAAACAAGTCACAAATACTAAGACATTCTGTGTTCATGGATTGAAACTCTTAATATTGTTAAAATGTACACGGTACCTAAAGCAACATGTATAGATCCAAAGAAACCCTATCAAAATTCTAATGGTATATTTTACAGAAATAGAAAAAACAAGTACAAAATTCATATGAAACTACAAAAGACTATTAATTGACCAAGCAATCTTGAGAAAAAACAAAGCTGGAAGCATTATACTGTCCAACTTCAAAATATATTACAAAGCTATAGTTATCAAAACAGTATGGTACTGGCATAAAGACAGACATGGATATGCATGTATTTATGTGTATATATGTATGTATATGCCTATGTATATGTGTATGTGCATATGTGTGGGTATCTGTATCTCAATGAAACAGAATAGAGAACCCCAGAAATAAATCAATACATATATGTTCAACGGATCTTTGGACAAGATTGTCAAAAATACACATGGGGAGAAGAGAGTCTCTTCCATAAGAGGCACTGAGGAAACTGGATGCGAAAGAATGAAATTGTACCCTTATCTTACACAGACACAAAAATCAACTCAAAACAGACTTAAACACAAGACTTGAAACTATCAAACCCCTAGAACATAGAGGAAATGCTTTCTGACATTGGCCTTAGCAATGATTTTATGGATATACCATCAAAAGCACAGACAGCAAAACCAAAAATAAATAAATGTGACTACATCAACCTAACATGCTTCTGCAAAGCCAAATAAATAAACAGTAGAATGAAAAGGCAACCTATGGAATGAAGAAAATATTTGCAAACTATATATCTGATAAGGAATTAATATCCAATATTCAGGGAACTCCTACAAGTAAATAGAAAAAAGCAAAAAATGGTCAGAAAAAAACAGAAAATGATCAGAAAACATGAATAAACATTTTCCCAAAGAAGACATACAAATGGTCAACACATATACAAAAAAATTCTGAAGATCGCTAGACACCAGGAAAATGCAAGTCAAAATCACAGTGAGATATCATCTCATGCCTGTTAGAATGGTGGTTGTTATTATTATTATTATTATTTTGAGACGGAGTCTCACTCTGTTGCCCAGGCTGGAGTGCAGTGGCGCCATCTCGGCTCACTGCAAGCTCCCCCTCCTGGGTTCACGCCATTCTCCTGCCTCAGCCTCCCAAGTAACTGGGACTACAGGCACCCGCCACCACGCCCAGCTAATTTTTTTGGTATTTTTAGTAGAGGCAGGGTTTCACCATGTTAGCCAGGATGGTCTCGATCTCCTCACCTCGTGATCCACCCACCTCGGCCTCCCAAAATGCTGGGATTACAGGCGTGAGTCACTGCACCTGACCCGGTTATTATTTTTTAAAAGGTAATAATTGTTGGTGAGGATGTAGAGAAAAGGGAACCCTTGTACACTATTGGTGGGAATGTATGATAGTGCAGCCATTATGGAAACAATAAGGAGATTTATCAAAAAATTAAAGAACTACTATATGATCCAGCAATCCCACTCAGAATATTTATACAAAAGAACAGAAATTAGCATCTTGAAGTTATATTAACATTCCCATGTTCATTGCAGCAGTATTCACAATAGCCATAATACTATGCAGCCATAAAAAAGGATGAGTTCATGTCCTTTGTAGGGACATGGATGAAGCTGGAAACCATCATTCTCAGCAAACTATTGCAAGGACAAAAAAACCAAACACCGCATGTTCTCACTCATAGGTGGGAATTGAACAATGAGAACACATGGACACAGGAGGGGGAACATCACACACCGGGGCCTGTTGTGGGGTGCGGGGAGTGGGGAGGGATAGCATTAGGAGATATACCTAATGCTAAATGACGAGTTAATGGGTACAGCACACCAACACGGCACATGTATACATATGTAACTAACCTGCACATTGTGCACATGTACCCTAAAACCTAAAGTATATTAAAAAAAAAAAAAAGAAAATTCTGCAATATGTGACAACATGGATGAAGCTTGAGGACATTACACTAAGTGAAATAAGCCAGTCACAGAAAGCCACATGCTACATGATTCCACTTATATTAAGTATCTAAAATAGTCTAATTCATAGAGTCAAATAGTAGAATTGTGGTTGCTGGGGATTGTGAGGAGGGGAAAACGGGGAGTTAATAGTAAAAGGCATAAAATTCCAGTTAAGCAAGGTAAATAAGCTAGAAGTCTACTGTATAACTTTGTACCCATAGTCAACATTATTTGTATACTTTAAATTTAAGAGGGCAGGATATAAAATTACAGCTAGATAGGAGACATAACTTCTAGTGTACTATACCACTCAGGATGACTATATTAACAATAATATATAGTTTCAAATAGCCAGAAGGAGGATATTGGAGGTACCCAACACAAAGAAATGATAAATGTTTGAGATGATGGATATACCAGTTACCCTAATCTGATCACTGTAAATTGTATGTATCAAAACATCACAAGGTACTTTACAAACACATACAATTATTGGTTAATTTAAAAATAAAGTTTAAAAAATTTCAGAGGATAGACCTGATATTAAGTGTTTTTACCACAATAATTATTTTAAAGACAAAATATTCTGTTTCAACTTTCTGTTTTGATTTTTTAAATAAACTTTTTGTTTTAGAATAGTTTGACATTAAACAAATGTGAAGCTAGTGCAGAGTTCCCATATACCTTAACCTAATTTCCCCTATTATTAACTACTTACATTAATATGGTACACCATGATTAATAAACTAATATTGATACATTATTATTAACTTTAGCCCACATTTAATTCAGATCTGCTTAAGTTTTACCTAGTTTCTTTTTGCTACTCCAGGATCCCACCCAGGATACCATATTACATCGTCATGTCTTCTTCGGCTCCCCTAGGCTGTGACAGTTCCTCATATTTTTCTTGTTTTTGATAACCTCGCCAGTTTTTATTAGGTTGGTGCAAAACCACAATTGCTTGTGCACCAACCTAGTAGAAGGACTCTCAATATTTTGAAGAATTTCCCACATTTTGGATTTCTCTGATATTGTCTTATAGTTTGACTGAGCTTATGGGTTTTTGGAAGACTCTGGTGGTGCACTGCCATTCTTATCACATTATATAAAGGGTACATAATAACAGTATAACATATCACTGTTTATGTTAACCTTGATCATGTGACTAAGGCGATATTTATCAAGTTTCTCCACTGTCGAGTTATTTTTTTCCCCTTTCTGTATTCTATACAGGGAATTCACTATGCACAATCTACACTTAAGGAGTGGGAAGTTATGTTCCATTTTCTTGTGGCCAGAGTATATCTATAAATTATTTGTAATTCTTCTGCAGGAGAGCTTTCCCTATTCTCCCTCATTTATTTATATATGTAATAATTTTTGATTTCAGTATGAACTTGTAGATATTTTATACTTTGAGTTATAATCCAATGCCCTTTTATTTATTTTGTCACTCAAATTTTCCCAGCTGTGACCACTGGGAGCTCTTCCAGCTGGCCCCTGTGTCCCTTTAACATACCCCATTATAGTGGGGTGGGGGTGTGCTGTGCACGCGCATGTGTGGTTTTTTGAGGCTTGTGCCTAAGTAATCCTCAGCTCAGGACCAAAGGTAGTTCTACTCCAGGGGCTTCCTTTTATGTAAATAGAAATGATAAAATATAAAGGAATTACCTCTTTAAAGACCCTATATCTAAATGCAGTTGCATTCTGAGGAACTGAAGGTAAGGACTTCAACATATTAATTTTGTAAGGGACAAAACTCAGCCCATAACACCCTATCCTCTGCCCTCCTCCTGCCAAATTCATGTTTTTTTACATGCAAAATACATTCACCACATCCCAACAGCCCTTAAGTCTTAACCCATTTCAGCAAAAGTCTGCTCAAAATATCATCTAAATCAAGTATGGGTGAGGCTGGAGCTATGATTCATCCTGAAGCAAATTTCTCTTCAGCTGTGAACGTGTGTAACCAGGCAACAAGTTATCTTCCTTCAAAATACAATGGGTGGGACAAGGCATTCAATAGACCTTTCCATTCCAAAAGGGAGAAATCAGAAAGAAAGGGTTAATGGGTCCCAAGCAAATTCAAAACCTAGCAGGACAAATTCCTTTAGATTTAGAGGCTTGAGAATAATCCTCTTTGGCTCAATGCTGCGTCCTCAGCACCTACCAGCATGGCCCTACCTTCTGGTCAGGGTAGAGGTTTTAACGATCATAGATCTCTTTGAAGATTGCCATGTCGCCCAAACCAGGACAGTGAGAAGCCCAACTAGAATACCTCTGACTTCATCACATCCTATTATTTCCTTTCCCATGGGAATTCAAGTGTTTTGCACCAACATGGCAAAAAACATGTGCTATAGTCACAGACACCAACCAGCAGGCAGCTGAGATCTTGCTATGAATGATGACATTCTTCTCCTTAAAACACTTTCATCTATATTGGTTAGCCATAATTTACTGTATGTTTCAAAATGGCTAAAAGAATAGAAATTAGAATGTTCCTAACACAAAGAAATGATTGATGCCCCAGTTACCCCGTTTGATCACTACACATCATACGTTTATATCAAAATATCACACACACCTTACAAATATGTATAACTATTATACACATAATTATTATTATACACATAATGCATAATTTAAAATTTATAAAGTAAAAAAGAATGAGGCCACTTTTGAACTTGCAGATGGAAAATTTTCTAATTTGAAATCGAAGCACTGTCATACATCCAACTAAAAGATTTCTAACCCAAACTTGGTGAAGTCTCAGGATTCCCTCGCAGCCATCCTCTGTAAGGACTGCCTCAGGTAGGTTTCTTTAGCCTTCTTTCCGTCACATTCCTCACTACACCTATTGGATCTGTCAGCCTCACCATCTCTTGCACTCCAGTTCCTGAGCTCATTAATTGGCTGTTTCTGACTAGACGATGGCTGAGAATCCCTGTCCAAACAGATCACCATCATGTTTATCATTAGCAATAACACCACCAGTGAGTGCACAAAACATATGCAGGATATAATTCAGAATACAGAATTGAACTCAGGACCAATCAGTAGAATTAGTATCAGACTTTAAATGCTGAGACAGCAACATGAGGCAAAATGATAATGCTCTCTGCAGGGAAAAAGGAAAGCTGCTTCATGGGGCGGAGGTTTCTGGAGGTACTGTCACATTGAGTCACGCCTGACTTGGAAATAATTTGCATGGGTTCCCTTTAAATATGTGCAGGCAGGATGAAGCTCATAAGCACCGCCAGAAATGTCACACCATTCAGACTTTCATTTGTTTTTCATGCCTTGAGTCCAAGAATAATATGGGGAAAAAGATGTCACTTACCCAAAGGCATGGCAGATGTTCCTCTGAGAGTTGTTTATGCAGATTGCAGTCCGATTACACCGCCCAGAATCAGCTCTACATCAGTCACTGTAGTTCTCCCTGTGTTACCCTCTCCAGCTCTCAAATCTCCTTGTTTTTGGAAATTTCAGGACAACTTCTAGAGCAGAAGATCTCTGTCAAAGTCTAGCACTTTAAGGTAATGAATGTCACCTGGGAGTTGTTCTCTACTGCAGCTTTCAAGATATGTGATTACTAAACTTTGGGAAAGGGCACCGCAGGCAAGCATGACTGTGAGCATCCGAATTTCCAGTCTGCCCTTAAGCCTGGCTCCCTGGAGTCCTGAGCTCCCTGGAGTCCTGAGCACCCTGGTCAGCCTTGACTTCAACCTAGCTCTACTAATTATCACAATCTCCAGCCCAAGCTTGTCCAACCTGCAGCCCGTGGGCCGCATGCCACCCAGGATGACTTTGAATGCAGCCCAACACAAATTCGTAAACTTTCTTAAAACATTAAGAGATTTTTTTTCCTTTTAGCTCATCAGTTATTGTTAGTGTTCGTGTATTCTATGTGTGGCCCAATACAATTCTTTTCCTTCCAGTGTGGCCCAGGAAAGCCGAAAGATTGGACACCCCTGCTCTACCCAGTTTTTAAATGAAGCTGTGGTTCCCATTTAATGGCTATGCCTGAAGATACATGGAACAATAAAATGCCCTGGTCAGAAAATAATAATAATAAGGCTATTTAATAAGCCTTAAACTGTACTTACAGGTAGAGAAATGTGAACACTGCAATCTCATTACAATATACTATAAACATTTACAACACTACCAGACACTTTTTATAAACAAAATAAAGACCTTTTGTATTAAATGAATTCAGCCAAGCTAACATTTCCATGAACTATTTCACCGCAGCATGGAAGAAACTACAGAGAGCATGTTACTTTGGGTCACAGGTCTTAAGTACTTAAACTCCAGTCCAGCTAATCTTTTATATTTCATCATAGACTCTAACATTCTTCTTCCTGATTCTGTGTTGACTCCCAACCATTAGTGTGGATTTGCATTGGTAAAGGGAGATGGACTCCATTAACAGTACAGAAATTTCTAGAATATCTGAGGAAAAAAAAAATGAGCTGGTGAACCACAGCATCTGAAGAAGTATTACAAGCATAGCTATATGACCTAATGAAAATTATTCTACCTTTCTTAGCTCCAGTTTCTCCATTTTTCCATTTCACATTTATATTTTACATTTAAAATGTGGCTAAGACTTTCTGCCTTCCTTATTTGATAGATTGGCTGTGAAATTCAAATAGTCCTATGTGTGGAGGAATCTTGCACACTAGAAACAGCCCTGCCACTGGGACCAAAGTTATTAACAAAATTCATCTACTTATTATAGGGTTATGCTTCAAATTCTTTTTTCACCTCAACCTTTTTACTAACCTCCCTTTTTCTTCTCATATCCCTGCCATTCCTTCCATTACTTAAGTACAGTCATGTACCACATAATGATGTTATGGTCAATGATGGACCATATGTATGTCAGTGGTTCCATAAGATTATAATAGAGCAAAACAAAACTCCTATTGCCTAGTAATGACTTAGCCATCATAATGATGAAGCACAACACATCACTCACATTTGTGTTGATGCTGGTGTAAACAAACCTACTGTGTTGAGAGTTGTATAAATTATAGCACATACAATTATGTATAGCATATATAATGATAATAAGTGACTACGTTACTGGTTTATATATTTACTATACTAAACTTTTTATCATTATTTTAGGGCAACCTCCAGCTACTTAATGAAAAGTAAAAAGCAAACTGGAAAAAAGCCTTAGTCATGTTCTTCAGGAGGTATTCCAGAAGAAAGCATTGTTGTTATAGGAAATAACAATTCCATGCATTATTGCCCCTGAAGACATCCCGGTGGGACAAGATGTGGAAGTGGAAGTGGAAGACAGTGATACTGATGATCCTGACCCCATGTAGGCCTAGTCTAATGTGTGTTTGTGTCTTAGATTTTTAACAAAAAAAATTTTTAAGTATAAAAAGTATACAAATTTTAAAAATACAAAAAAGCTTATAGAATAATTGCATAAAGAAAAAATATTTTTGTACAGTTGTATGACATGTTTGTGGTTTTTTGTTTTTGAGATGGAGTCTCACTCTGTCACCCAGGCTGCAGTACAGTGGTGCAATCTCAGCTCACTGCAAACTCTGCCTCCTGGGTTCAAGCCATTCTCCTGCCTCAGCCTCCTGAGTGGCTGGCATTACAGGCACATACCACCAAGCCTGGCTAATTTTTGTATTTTTAATAGAGATGGGGTTTCACCATGTTGGCCAGAGTGGTCTTGAACTCCTGGCCTCAAGTGATCCACCCACCTTGGCCTCCTAAAGTGCTGAGATTACAGGTGTTAGCCACTGCATCTGGCCTGTGTTTTAAGCTAAGTATTACGAACAAGTAAAATAGTTCCAACTTAAAAGTTTATAAAGTAAAATAGTTACAGCAAGCTAAGGTTAATTTATTACTAAAGAAAAAGGCTTTATAAATTTAGTGTACGCCTATATGTACAGTATTTATAAAGTCTGGAGTAGTGCGCAGTAATGTTCTAGGCCTCCACATTCACTCACCACTCATTCATTTACCACATATTCACTCACCACCTCATACACTTCCAGTTTCTTTGGTGGCCATAGTAAGTGCCCTATACAAGTGAAACATTTTTTCATCTTTCATACTGTATTTTTAACTGTACTTTTTCTGTTTAAATACACAGATACTTCCTGGTGTTATAATTGTCTGCAGTTTTTAGTACTGTAACATGCTATACAGGTTTATAGCCAAGGAGCAATAGGCTATACCATATAGCCTAGGTGTGTAGTAAGTAGGCTATCCATCTAGGTTTGTGTAAGTACACTCTGTGATGTTCACACAATGATGAAATCTCCTAATTACACCATTTCTCAGAACGTATCCCCATCAGTAAGCATCACATAACTGTATTCCAAAATAAGCATGTTCTTTGGATTTGAAAACAAGCTAAATATTAATGCATATTCCAGGTTTTCCTTCTTTTGATATTTTCTTTTCTACTTTTACTTTTTTTTTGAGGCAGAGTCTTGCTCTGTTGCCCAGGCTGGAGTGCAGTGGCGTGATCTTGGCTCACTGCTACCTCTGTTTCTCAGGTGCAAGCGATTCTACAGCCTCAACCTCCCAAGTAGCTGGGACTACAGGTGCCCGCCACCATGCCTGGCTATTTTTTTTTTTTGAATTTTTTTTTAGTAGAGATGGGGTTTTACCATGTTGGCCAGGCTGGTCTCAAACTTCTGATCTCCAGTGATTCACCCACCTCAGCCTCTCACAGTGCTGGAATTACAGGCATGAGCCACTGTGCCCGGCCCCTTTACACTCTTATATTACCTCTGTACTTCTTAATTTGATGACCACAAGAGTGCAGCCTCTTTTAATTGCCACTCTACATATCCACTCTAAAATTCATTCTTCTTCTGCTTTGAAAGTTATTCTTTTTACCACATCCAAGACTTAATTAGCTCTTCCTGCAGCCACCATATACTGTGCTCCTTCACCCGGTCATGAGAGTAGCCCTAGAAAGCTCTTCTGAAGAGCATACATCTTGATCCTCATGTCTTCTCTGTGGCATTGTGATGGAGGATGAGACATTGTTTAGGCCACAGCTAACTTGACACTAATGAGCTTATAATAAGTTTGTAGAAGCGATGAGAAAGCCTGACTCATCTGTGCTCAGCCACTTTCAATTACACTATTGAACAAGGGATAGCACCATCAACTTTAGGAACAGCTCAAAATGTTTAATTAGACCCCTAATGAGAATTGCTTAAAGGCAGTCTCTGAATGCTTGTATTAATGAAGGTCTATCCCAAAATGATGACTCAAAGAGCACCCAGCAAGTCCTTCTTACTTCTGAACTTAAGATCTCTCCTCAAAATATTTTAAAAAGTTGAGGATTGAAAAAATGAACTCTAAACTAAGACAGAGTTTGGTTCACCCAAGTCTGCAGCCTACTAATACTTTTATGTAAACTTGGGCGAGTCAGCAAACTTCTCTGTGTTGATTTACCCTTCTGTAAAATGGAGATAAGGTCTATCTTGTAGGGTAGTGTTAAGGATTAAATTAGATCACACATGTACACTATTTGGCCCAGCACCTGGAACTCAGTAAATCTTCATTTTGAACTCTCATTATTATTAGTACCAGTTTTCAAGAAAAAAAAAAGAGCCATTTCATCTTTCTAAATGTGAGAAAGGAGAGTAATGAGAATAAGATTAATGAGGACTAATGAGAGAGGCAACCACCTATGAGTGGTTCTTTGAAGTGGAGATGGGCTCCCGTAGAGCTATCTGGCCTCAATTTAGTAAAATATCCAAGAGAAAGCTCTATTCATAGAGGTCTCACAGAAGACCTCTTACCTAAACTTCACACAGCTTCTCCTACCTTCTCCAGATGTGAACTACATTTCTTGGTAACTTCTAGATATTCTGACTCTGCATTCCCTCACAAAAGATGGATGTGATGACCTCAATGTGTCAGGGAAAATTGGTTCAGATACTGTATGTTCACTCAACGTGGTTTGGATACAAAAGGTATATCAGCTTATGAGTGCTAGCCAGGCAGTGTAATCTTAAAGCCCAGGAGTCACATGTGCATAAAATCTATCTGGGCCTGAATCAGCAAGGGCATAGCTGCAGAGTTGGTTGCAAAAGACCAGCTTTTTATAGTAAGACTACATGGCATGAGAAACAACAGAAGCTATAAAAAGAATTATTAACATGTCTATTTCTTCTATCCATGCCCTAATTATTTTTGGACAACTCAGTCCTCCAGACTGACTTCTTTCCATTAAGAGTAGGTAAACCTGGCCAGGCACGGTGGCTCACGCCTGTAATCCCAACACTTTGGGAAGCCGAGGCAGGTGAATCACGAGGTCAGGAGATCGAGACCATCCTGGCCAACATGGTGAAACCCCGTCTCTACTAAAAATACAAAAATTAGCTGGGTGTAGTGGCACGTGCCTGTAATCCCAGCTACTCAGGAGGCTGAGGCAGGAGAATAGCTTGAACCAGAGTCGGTGGTAGCAGTGAGCCAAGATCATGCCACTGCACTCCAGCCTGGTGACAGAGCGAGACTCTGTCTCAAAAAAAAAAAAGAATAGGTAAACCCATGTTCGTTGCAGCATTATTCACAATAGCCAAGACATGGAAACAACTGAAGTGCCCATCAACAGACGAATGAATTTTTTAAGATACGGTGTGTATGTATAGATGTATGTTGCATATATATACACATATATAGACACACACACAATGGAATACTATTCAGCCTTTAAAAAGAAAGAAATTATGTAATTTCCAACAATATGGATAAATCTAGAAGACATTACGCTAAGTGAAGTAAGTCAGGTACATAGAGACAAATCCCACGACTTCATTTACATGTGGAATCTAAAAAAGTTGAATGCATAGAATTAGAGAGTACAATGATGGTTACCAGTGGTTGGGTTGGGGAAGAATTCGTGAAAAGGGAAATGTTGGTCAAAGGATGCAAAGTTTCAGTTAGGCAAAAGGGATAAGCTATTGTGATCTATTACACAGTATGGTGACTACAGTTAATAATAATGTGTATTTCAAAATTACTCAAAGATTGGATTTTAAATGTTCTCACCACAAGGGAGTATGTGAAGTGATGGATATGTTAATTAGCCTGATTTGATTATTTCACAAGGTATACATGTATGGAAACATCACATTGTATCTCATAAATATATATGGTTATCTGTCAACTTAAAATTTAATGTACAGAAAAAAAAGGGAAAACATTGGCCAATTCAATGTCTGAACTTAGTGGCCAGGACAGACAAACTCACCTGCTGAGAGCACAGTCGAGTAAGGACAAGGTATGGTTGGAAGAAAAGGGGTGACATGACCACATGGCAAATGGGCTACCTGTGATGAGGGTGACCAGTGGTAAATTTAGAGCTCAAACTCCAGGTCCATCTCTTGCAAGGATCCTTTCTTCCCACCGCTACTCCCTGCCCCTTTCTCAGTTTAAATAAACATATTTGTATTTAAAAAGGAGTGGTGAAGCCTTTAGCAATTAATTGGACTTATGAAGACATATGATCATAAATTTAACAAATTTAATGAGGGAAGATCATACTGGCTAAATGTTTTACAAATAATATTTATATTTTCAGTTATTAAAAGCACTGGTAGACATCATTGCAAGAATGAACTAAAAGCACAAGAAAAACCTAAATGAGAAAACACTAGGATGAATGTAATGCAGAGAGAGGGGGCTGTGGCAAAGTGCACTGTGTATGGATGGCATCCACCTTCCACACATCCACCTGTAGGACTTCTGGGTCTCAATTCTTGTCACTTGATCATATTTCTGGCAGACTAATAGAGCCTACACATTGCTAAATATGTGAGGCCATTTTGAGAACATGGTTTTATTCTGCAGCCTTATAGATTGTAGTCATACTATGGTAAAGAAAATAAAAATTAGATGTGAAAAAAATTGACTTTGTTCAGTGTGTTTTTTCAAAAATACTTGTTCTACGAATGCACTTGGATGTATTTATATTGTTAACCTTCATCCAAAAAAATATTTAAAGTGACTTCATTTGGAATTACCTATATTATCCTGCTAGGTTAAAATGGAGCTTCTCGATAAGTGAAAACCGGTCCCCAAATGCAGGTCCTTCAGCCTAGCAGGGGAAATAAATGCTTAACAAATACTCAACAGAAACAAGAAATCCAAGAGTCAGTAGAATAGCAAGTCCAGTGCTGTTGGGGTGCAAAGTAAGAACAGATCTTATTTGTTTGAGGAGGTTAGTACAATTTTCATGGAGTAGCTTATATTCCAAAAAGATCCTAAATGAATCCGATCTAAAGAGATTAGAGAATGCCAGTCTAGACAGAGGAAACAGCATGAGAAAAAGTAAACAAATGAATTCTCATGAGACATGTTCAGGGAGATCAGAGAGCCCAGTTGGTCAGATGAATTCAAATATACAGCAGGCTGTTAAGTGTGGACACTATTTGATAAGCAATAGAGAAAAGGTGAAACTTCTTGACCAGAGGAGATCTGATCATAACTTCCCTTTATAAAAATATTAATTCTGTAGTGTTGCAAAAACACCATGGAGACACACAAAAGCTGCCCGTTGGGTGACAGAGTGTGAGGGTTTGACTAAGGTAGTGGCAGTGGGCATGAAAAGGAAAGGCTGGGTATGAGGATATTGTAGATGTCAACTCCACAGAATTCAGGAATTTCACAAATGTGAGAATCTAGGAGAAAAGAGTAGAGGAAATAATAGTGAATAATGGGGAAGATTGAGGCACCAGACATGAATATGCATTGTAAACTATCAACAGTGGTAAAAGAAATTGCCGATAGCATCATAAACAGACAGTGATGGACTTAACAGGAAATCAGGAGGTGTGACTCCTTCATGTAGAAGGTTAAGGACATTCAGCATCAGGTGTTAGTAGAACACCTATGTGGTGATGTCCCTTAAATCACATGAAAATGTGTTAGGGGTCTGGAGCTCCAGAGAGTATCCAGGACTGGAGAGATGTTTGAATACTGACCTCAGGGAGGTGGGGTGTAGAAGAAGGGAAATGGAGGTGATTTCTGCAGGACATGGTACAGAAAAAAGGGAAAAAATATCCAGAAATGGCCCTGTGTGATCTGTAATGCATTTACGTGCAAGAAAGGGTATAGAGCAAGCTTGTTCAACCCATGGCCCATGGGCCGCATGCAGCACAGGACAGCTTTGAATGCTGTCCAACCAACACAAATGTATAAATGTTCTTAAAACATTATGAGTTTTTTTGCATTTTTTTTTTTAGCTCATCAGCTATCATTAGTGTTAGTGTATTTTATGTGCGGCCCAAGGCAATACTACTTCCAAGATGGCCCAGGGAAGCCAAAAGATTGGACACCCCTGGTGTAGAGACCTAAAATCATCATTTGGAGCAGAAGTTAGCAACCTTATTCTGTACATGGCCAGGTAGTAAATTTTTCTGGCTTTGCTACTCCCACAGCCCTCTGGTGCAACTACTGCTGCTGTTATAGTATGAAAACAGCATAGATGCTACATAAACATGACTATGTTCCCATAAAAACTTAACTACACAAAAAGGCAGGGGACCAAATTTGGTCTGAGGGTCATAGTTTGTCAACTCCAGATTTAGACAGGAGAACCAGGGTAATATAACATCTAAGAAGGTAAAACAGAATTTCTAAAAGAATAAAGGGGTTTCAATTATGTTATAGAAAAAGTCAGGAAGAGTCAAGATAGAAAAGGCCCTTAAATTTGCTCATGAGTCATGCTCTGCAGTGTTTCCCATAAAGTGGAAGAAGCAGAAGCCGACAGCCAAGGAGTCAGCGAGTGGTGCAGAACGGGATGCACAGCAAGACTCTTACGAGAACCACTATGGGCAAGAAAGAGCAGAGTCCCAGGATCTGACACTGGCAGAGGGGTAGAGGATTGAATGACATGTTAGGACTGAGAGATAATTTAAGCATGTCTGTAGGTTTAAGAGAAAAAATAGAGGAAAAGGGGAAAAGAGATGGGCAACATCAC